>NT_187616.1:0-108763 GCF_000001405.40 Homo sapiens
AGATATTCAGATATTCAGACCTTAAGAATGCACTTTATCCTTATCACAAAGCAGCAAATGAAGTGCTGTGCTTCCTAGCAGCCAAAGAATAAAAAAAGGTCTACACGATCAATGTCTGTCATTCCCACAGGGAGGCAAAGCTTTTCCAGGCAGTGTATTCTAAAAGTTTTATCTAGAGGCATTGGGGGATGAACAGGACAATGGCTCTAGCAGAAAGCTGACAATAAAGACTCCAGTGATTTTCATCTGACGGTTAACATCCTTTCTTTCAAACCTGAGTTAAGTCACAGGAGGCTGTTCTGTGAGAGGGGCTAAGCTGACATAGACCAATGATGTTGGCTTGGGCTGGGGTGAGGAGAGGTTGTCTACTGGCAGATAACACATAACACCAGAGGACAAGATGATGAGCTACTATTTCAGCCCTTGTGCAGCTCCTTCCATCCCCCGACATCAGACATCATGATGCTCTCGAGCCTGCTACACAAGTCCCGGCACAACTCGCAACCCACTTCAGTCCCCAACTCAGGAAATAAGAAAAAAACTCAGAACCAACAGGAGCAAGAGAATGGTATCACAGGATGACTCTGCAGCATCCTGAATTTATCAGAAACAATGTGAAAAGGCTGACATTTAAATTATTTTATTCACAATATATGTAGGACATACCCCATGACTGAGAACAGCTCTCTTACACTGTCTTCCAGAAATGGAACTCCTCCCAAGGCAAGCTTGGGTAGGCACTACACAACAAACAATTTGTGAAGTTACTTTTTTTTGCTAAGGGTCTAGTGCAGTGTCATCCAGTAGAACTTCCTGTGATCATGGAAGCGTTCTACATCTTGTGTTGTCCAACACAGTAGCCACTAGATACAAGTATTTGATGTGTGGCTAAGTCATGCTAAGGAGCTAAAGTTTGCATTTTATTCCAGTTTAACTCATGTAAATTTAGAGAACTACAGGTGGCCAGGGACTATGGAATTGGACACAGCAAGTCTAAAAGATCTTACTAGGCTGGGCACGGTGGCTCACGCCTATAATCCCAGCACTTTGGGAAGCTGAGGCGGGTGGATCACCTGAGGTCATGAGTTTGAGACCAGCCTGGCCAATATGGTGAAACCCCATCTCTACCTAAAATACAAAAATTACCTGCGCATGGTGACACACGCCTGTAATTCCAGCTATTGAGGAAGCTAAGGCAGGAGAATAGGTTGAACCTGGGAGGCGGAGGTTGCAGTGAGCTGAGATTGCGCCACTGCACTCCAGCCTGGGCCACAGAGTGAGACTCCAACTCCATAAACAAAACAATAAAATAAAATAAAATAAAATAAAATAAAAGATTGTATTAAACCATGTTCTAGCCAATACCTGGCCATGGGAGAAAGACAACTGGAAGTTATTGGAAACTTTGCTTCCTAATACAAAAATGTATTCAAATTCTCTTGCTTTAGTTTTCTCTTTAATTTACATAATAGGTAGGAGGATGGCATAATACAATCGACGTGGAAATGAGTCTTGATTTTAACCCCAATCCTAGCGCAGCATTAGACTTTCACTCTGGCTGTAGCTTCCTTGATCTGAAGGCCAGAAAGTAGGGCTCAGGCATCTGCGCGTCTGTCGCCTGTGCAGGAGATGACAGAATGTCTAAAAGTTTCCCTGCCACTTTTATTTGGGATCACGGAGGATTCCCAGAGTTGTGATTTTGCCCTCTGGGCGTTGGTGCCAACTCTCATGCTCAAATCCAACAGCGTCATTTAGAAGTGTGCTACCGGCTTCTGCCTCAGTGCACACCAGGAACATGATATGTTGAGCAAAATGTCATCCCATGTAGGAGCCTGTGCTAATTATAATGTCAGGCTTCCCACTGAGATACTGATAATTAAAGGAGAATATTACAATGTTTTCAAACTCCTGCAGTAAATGAGAAGCATCTTCAAATGTAACCTGTTGGAGATGAAAATTAAAGCCATCTGTGACGTCCCCATTTAAGACCTCCACAACCAGAACCAGACAATTTTTGAGGATCAAAGCAAGTTGAAGGCAAAAGTAGGTGGGTGGTAGAGTTTGGGGGAAGAGGAGGAGGTGGAGGGGAATTAATGTTTTCCAGGTCCTGCTGTGTTCTAGGAACCACAATACTCTTTATTTTTTTATTGAGACAGGTCTTGCTCTGTCACCCAGGCTGGAGTGCAGTGGCACAAGCACGGCTCACTGCAGCCTCTACCTCCTGGGCTCAAGTGATTCTCCTGCCTCAGCCTCCTGAGTAGTTGGGACTATAGGCATGTGCCACCACGCCCAGCTAATTTTTGTATTTTTTGTAGAGACGGGGTTCTGCCACGTTGCCCAGGCTGGTCTTGAACTCCTGAGTTCAAGTGATCTGCATGCCTCGGCCTCCCAACGATACACTCTGAATAGCAGATAACACAGTGGGTGGCCCTGCTTGTTGCTACTGCTGTCGTCTCAATAATGAACTGCCAAGTAGCTATTATCTGCATTTTACAGCTGGGAAAGCTAAGACTCTCATGATCTCACCTAAGGTTACCTACCTAGTAAAGCATTTGGTGGCTCCAGGATCCAAGTCTTGGCCTTTCTGCTCTAAAGGTTGTGCTTGTCCTATGCCTGTGGGCGACCACCTGCTTGGGTCCTGGAGCATCAGTGGTGGTGATAGGTGTGCAGGGGCCTCACAGGCATTCATTTTACACATCTCCTAGAGCACCCACAGTGGTGGGCCCTGTGTACGGTGAGGCTTCCTGCCCAGGTTTCCCTGCCCAAGTCTCCTTGCTGAACTGAGCCCGATGCATCTGGAGTGAGAACTACGCCAACGTGGTGCTGCAGACATTAACATTTAATGTGGCAAGCTTAAGAAAAGCAAGAAGCATTTCCTGAACTTCTCTGTAACTCTCTCTGAAAAACAGTGTGATCCACGGGAAGAAAAGAAACACAGAGCTCACCAGTGAGACACAACACACGGAGACAGAGTGTGAGTTAAGCTGTACCCATCATTGCTTGTGTGGCCTCGGGCTTTTTTTTTTTTGAGACAGGGTCTCGCTCTGTTACCCAGGCTGGAGTGCAGCGGCACGATCTCAGTTTTCTGCAGCCTCCACATCCCAGGCTCAAGCGATTCTCCTGCCTCAGCCTCCCGAGTAGCTGTGACTGCAATCACGCGCCACCATACCCCACTAATTTTTGTATTTTTTGTAGAGATGGGGTTTCCCCACGTTGCCCAGGCTGGTCTTGAACTCCCAGGTTCAAGCGATTCACCTGCTTCGGCCTCCTAAAGTGCTGAAATTACAGGTGTGAGCCACCGTGCCTGGTCTTGGGCTTGATCTTTAAACTTTCTAGGTCTCAGTTTCTAAAATGTAAAACAGGGACGCAAATATCTAAATCATGTATGTGGTGCACTTTATACAGCGTCTGGAACCTTGAAAGGCCCCCGTAAGTGGCAGCCTTTAGCATTATTGGTATATTTTATTATGGTCAATGATGCATGCCTTTGTGTGGTGTTCTGCTTCCTCATTAACTGAGCCTGAGTCGCCGGCTACTGAGAAGGCCCCTCCAGTTTCTGGAAGCAGAGCAATGTGAAGCAGAAGCTGTTGCATCACGGTTTCTCCTGGAAAGGTCTGTACCTAACAGTAGAATTTTCTGCTCAGTCTTTACCCCAGGAAAATGAAAAATCAACATGTTCTTTCTCATGGCTAGTAGCTCCTTTCTTGCAAGTCGGGGCCCTGGTCTCGCACTGCTGCCCCTCCAAAGCCACCCTTTGCAGCACGGGGAGACTGCACAAGGGCAAGCTGAAGGTCCAGGCTCACATCACCAATGTCAGCAGCAGCAGCCTCCCTGGCCACCTGCAGCTGTCCGCAGACTTTTCAGCATTCCAACAGATCCTCCATATTCCACACAAAATCAAAATCCACAGCAACTGCCACCTCGTTGGAAAGCAGGGCTCAAAAAACAACTTTATTTTTCTCCTGTCTATTGACTTGGAGGAAAATTCACTAGATTTTTTAAAAATGTACTATAAAAATGTATATTGCTCAAAAAAAAAAAAAAAAAAAAAAGCAGGACTCATAGACACCCCAAGCAAGTGCCATGGTAGGTGGGACAGAGATTATCCCTTTGTGTCAAAGGACTCTGCTGGATGGAATGAATGGGAAGGAACTTAACAAAAAGAACTGGCTTCAAAGAGTTCAAAGGTTTCCATATGACCCAGCAATTCTACTCCAAGGTATGTACCCAAGAGAACACAGGTCCATACAAAGACATAAACACACATAGCAGCATTACTTACAACACCCAAAAAAGTAAAAACAATCCAAATGTCCATCAAGTGATGAAACAGTAAACAAAACACGGTGTATCCATAGAATAGAGTATTATCTGGCCAGAAAAAGAAAGACTTACTGATACATGCTACAACATCAACGAAACTTGGAAGCATCATGCCAAGTGAAAGAAACCAGACACAAAAACATACATATTACATGATACCGTTTAAATGAAAGTCAGTCCCGGTTAGGGAAACTGTAGAGACAAAGTAGATTAGTGCAGGGGCTGGAGGGAGGGAGGAATGGGGAGTGACTGCTAATAAGCATGCAGTTTCTTTTTTTCCTCAGAGGTACTGCTCAAAGAGTGTGGGGTTTCTTTACAGGGTGATGAGAGTATTCAGGAATAGTGGTAGGTTGGGTACAGTGGCTTACACCTATAATCTCAGCACTATGGGAGGCTGAAGCAGGAGGTTCTCTTGAGGCCAGCAGTTCGAGGCCACCCTGGCCAACACAGCAACACCCTTGTCTCTACTGGAAGAAAAAAATTAAAATTAAAAATTAAAAAGATAGTGATGGTGGTTGCACAACCTTTCAGATATACTAAAACCACTGAATTGTGAAATTTATTTTTCTTTCCTTTTCTTTTTTTTTTTTTTTGAGACAAGGTCTTGCTCTGTCACCTTGGCTGGAGTGCAGTGGCACAACCACGGCTCACTGCAGCCTTGACCTCCAGGGTTCAAGCAATCCTCCCACCCTAGCCTTCCAAGTAGCTGGGACCACAAGCGTGCACCACCACACCTGGCTAGTTTTTTAATTTTTCGTAGAGATGGGGGTCTCGTCATGTTGCCCAGGATGGTCTCCAACTTCTGGGCTCAAGCGATCCACCCACCTCAGTCTCCCAAAATGCTGGGATTACAGGCATGAGCCACTGTGCCTGGCCTTGAATTGTGAACTTTAAAAGGGTGAATTTTATGGTATGTGAATCATATCACATTCTTTTAAAAAAGTTAACAGGGACTCTTTCCTCAGTGTGGAAGTGTAATTGACAGACCTCCTAACTACCAGTGAGCGTGGGGATGAGAAAATGCCACACAATAAAGTTGCTTGAGAAAGAGAGAGATTGAGCGACAGATCATGTGTGAGATGGAGTAGGGTCAGTAACCATTTAAATATGCCACTGACCTTGAGAAAAAGAATGTCAGCTATAATCACAAGCCACAAACGTCTGTCACTGTGAATTGGCTCATCACGAAGAACTGAGGGATAACATGGAGTTATGATAGCAGTGGAGGCAGGCAGGGGAAAAGGGCCCATGAGATATGGATGGCAGCACTCTCCCCCATTCCCTGCCATCCCCACTGCACATGTATAAGCTAAGTAAATATTACGTCGTCTTTTACTAACACCCCAAAACTCTCACTTGATGAAGGACCAGGGGAGTAAGTTGCTGAATGGGCTCATTAAGACTTAGGAATTCTTTAGAGGCTCAAACACAGAAAGCCAGTGATGGGAAATAAGGATGACACAGCTGATAGCCCATGGGAGTCCCAGGGTGAGACTAAGACTCCATAAGAGCCAGGCTTAGACTTATAAAGGAATGCTGGCTGCTGAAGACATTTCAGAACTCAAGCTAAGAATCTCTGGCCTGCATTCAGAAGATACCTTTGGTCTCTGTGGTTGGCCAAATGATGGCTCCAAATATATCCAGGTCCTCATTCCTGAAACCTGTGAATGTTACCTTTCATGACAAAGGAGATTTTTCAGATATGATTATCCTGGATAATCTGGGTGGTCCCTCAATGCAACCACAAGAATCTTTATAAAAAGGCAGAGGGAGATTTGGCACAGAAGAGAAAGCAGTGATCCTGGAGGTACTGATTGGAGTGATGTGGCCACAAGCCAAGGAATGCCTGCAGCCTGCAGAAGCTGGAAGAGGCCAGGAATGGATTATCCCCTAGAGCCCCCGGCAAGAACACGGCCCTTCCAACCCCTTGACTTTATCACAGTGAAACTGATGTCAGACTTCTGGCCTCCAGAACTGCAGGAGAATAAATCTGGATTGTTTTAAGCCACTAAGTTTGTGATAATTGGTTACACCAGCCAAAGAAAACCAAGGCAGTCCTTCATTCTGCTTCTAACTTGTCTAAATATTAAAACAACCCCAGTAAGATGATCTCTAGCATAAAGGAATAACATCTCTCTACTTCTGTGCATAAGTTGAGGGTTGAGGTGTTGAAGTGGTTAGGTGATGGTAACTCCTTGATGAACTGAGTCTGATGCATCTGGAGTGAGAACCACGCCAACGTGGTGCTGCAGACATTAACGTTTAATGTGGCAAGCTTAAAAAAGGCAAGAATTTCACCTTTCCAAAAAAGCATTTTTATCTGATCGCAAGTCATAAATATTTACTACAGGAAAGCTTAGTTATAAATCTCACAAAAACAGGAAGAAAATAAAAGTCATCTGCAATCCTATCACCCAGGAATAACCAACCACTGTGAACATTTTCATGTCTAAATTTGGGTTCCTGTTCCCTGAAACAAAAAAATCACTTTGGATTAAAATCCCAAGCATTTCTTTGAAAGCCATTATCAGGAGCTGGCAATGAGGACAGGCCACATGACCAAAACCAACTGTTGTGTGGTTCTAGCAACACAAACAGTGGTCCCCAGGCCTCTATGTCATAGCAACAACCAGCAAAACAAACTTGGCTCTTGATACTATTGAGAGGAAAATAAAAAGCATGGAATTCACCTACCCTCTTCTCTGGACCTTTAAAATAATTTCAAACACAAAAGGCAGCAAGAGTCTGCCAATGTATCATCAGGACCCACATGAGTCAATGTCCTCCCTTGGCCCACCTGGACAATGTAGAAAGAAAATTAGGCGGCTGGGAGTGGTGGCTCACACCTGTAATCCCAGCACTCTGGGAAGCCAAGGTGGGCGGATCACCTGAGGTCAGGAGTTTGAGACCAGCCTGGCCAACATGGCAAAACCCCGCCTCTACTAAAAGTACAAAAATTAGATGGGCGTGGTGGTGGGTGCCTGTAATCCCAGCTACTCAGGAGGCTGAGGCAGGAGAAGCTTGAACCTAGGAGGCGGAGGTTGCAGTGAGCTGAGATCGCGCCACTGCACTCTACCCTGGGTGACAAGAGCGAGACTCCATCTCAAAAAGAAAGAAAATTGGCTGGGTGCAGTGGCTCATGCCCGTAATCCTAGCACTCTGGGAGGCCGAGGCAGGCAGATCACAAGGTCAGGAGATCAGGACCATCCTGACTAACACGGTGAAACCCCGTCTCTACTAAAAATACAAAAAATTAGCCAGGCGTGGTGGGGGGCGCCTGTAGTCCCAGCTACTGGCGAGGCTGAGGCAGGAGAATGGTGTGAACCTGGGAGACGGAGCTTGCAGTGAGCTGAGATGGCGCCACTGCACTCCAGCCTGAGTGACAGAGCAAGACTCCGTCTCAAAAAATAAAAAATAAAAAATTAGGACACCTAACTCTCAAACAGCCCCTCCTCTCTTAGAATGGAGGGCAGGTACCCAATGCACCAGTTCTTCTAGGTGCTCAAGTATATAATACATATTGAATACATCAAAGCTTCAGTATGTGTTATAACATTGGGCCCCCCAAAAAGAACGCAGTATAGAACTTCTTGCAAGAAGCTCCATCTATCAGGGGCAAATAAACATGTTTAAATACAGGTAATTGCATCCATCAAGAGTTGAATGAATAAAGAAAATATGGTACATACACACAATGGCGTATTATTCAGCCACATAAATGAATGAGATCCGGTCATTTGCAACAACATGGATGGAACTGGAGGTTATTATGTGAAGTGAACTAAGCCAGGCATGGAAAGACAAACTTCTCATGTTCTCACTTATTTGTGGGAGCTAAAAATTAAAACAATTGAACTCATGGAGATAGAGAGGAGAAGGATGTTTACCAGAGGCTGGGAAGGGCAGTCGGGGAGTCGGGGGAAAGTAGTGATGGTTAACAGGTACAAAAAAAAATAGATGAGTCAGACCTAGTAGTTGACAGCACAACAGGGTGGCTATAGTCAATAATATAATAATTGTACATTTTAAAATAACTACAAGTATAACTGGATTGTTGGTAACACAGAGGATAAATGCTTAAGTTGATGGGTTATGCATTACATACCTGTATCAAAATATTTCATGCAGGCCAGGCGAGGTGGCTCACACCTGTAATCCTAGCACTTTGGGAGGCTAAGGCGGGAGAATCTATTGAGCCCAGGAGTTCGAGACTAGCCTAGGCAACATGGCAAAACCCTGTCTCTACAAAAAATACAAAAAAAAAAAAGAAATTAGCTGGGTGTGGTGGTATGCACCTGTAGTCCCAGCTACTCAGGAGGCTGAGGTGGGAGGATCAACTGAGCCCAAGGTTGAGGCCGCAGTGAGCCATGATCACACCACTGCACTCCAGCCTGAGTGACAGAGAGAGATCTTGTCTCAAAAAACTATGTGTGTGTGTGTGTGTGTGTGTGTGTGTGCACGCACGCGCATATGTATTTCATGGCCCCATAAATATACATACCTATGTTACTGACAAAAATTAAAAATAAATAAATAAATAAAACACACAAACAGGTAATTGTAAGTCAGAGTGATAATTATGGTAACAGAAGATAAAGGATACAGCAAGACATCACAAAGGAAGGAGTGATTAACTTTGTTAAATAAATGAAATTAATAATAAATATTTCTATGATTCTTCACAGTTATCATCCAATGCTAAGGCTAGAAGGAGCCATAACAATAATTTACCACAATCCCCTAAATTTTCAAATGAATGAATGTTTGAATGAGATAACCCCTAGAATCTCTTTAAGCTTCCAATTTAACTTTCTCCCATACAAAGCAATGGTGCAGTTCACTGTTGAGACCATAAGGTACTCATGATAAGTGATTAGTAGGAACTCAATTGCTAGGTGATTTTTAATGCCATTCAAAAACAGAAGGGCCAGGAATCTTTGGAAGGCTCAGAGCCCTTCAATCTGTATGATACTGCATGGACAGCACTTCAAGAGACAGTATGCTCAAAAGGCTGCAGTCTCGGGTTGGTTTTCTAAAAAAACATGTTGTTTCCTCAGGGTGTCCTTCTGCAGCAGACACAAACACCATAGACCACCCCCACAGATGCACCCAGGCAGGCGCCACGGAAGTAGCTTAGAAGGAGGCGGGTGGTGTCTGCACTCTGTTTCTGGAGTCTGCCTTTTAGTGCTCTTTTTACTGCGCCTGCCTGCATCTGCTGGTCTGCATCAGTCATTACCATTTCTTCCTAAGACATTTCAATTGCACAACTATACTTTTCTTTGTCCTCTAAAGGGGAGGGTTTTTTGCTTATTTGTTTTTTTCTGAGACGGAGTCTTGCTCTGCCTCCAGGCTGGAGTGCCATGGTGCGATCTCGGCTCACTGCAACCTCTGCCTCCTGGGTTCAAGTGATCCTCCTGCCTCAGCCTCCCAAGTAGCTGGGATTACAGGCACGTGCCACCACGCCCAGCTAATTTTTATATTTTTAGTAGAGACGGGGTGTCATCATGTTGGCCAGGATGGTTTCTATCTCCTGACCTCGTGATCTGCCTGCCTCAGCCTCCCGAAGTGCTGGGATTACAGGCCGTGAGCCACCGCGCCCGGCCTGGGGAGGGGTTCTTTCCTGTTCTAGGGTTGTGGATAGACTCCATAAAGTCTAAACACCCAGAATTGTCTGCAAAATATTGTGTGTGGCTGTGGTCTCAAGGTTTATGTCTCCCCAGAATTCATATTTGGAAACCTAATCCCCAATGGTATTGTTATTAGGATGGTGGGGACTTAGGGAATGAATGGTATTAGGAGGTGGGGACTTGGGGAAGTGATTAGGTCGTGAGATGGAGCTCTTATGAATGGGATTAACAACCTCATGAAATGAGACTCCAGAGAGTGCCCTCTTTCCACCATGTGAGGATACAACGAGAAGACAGTCACCTGCAACCCGGAGAAGGACCCTCACCAGAACCTGACCACGACCATGCTGGCAGCCCGATCTCAGGCTTCCAGCTTCCAGAACTGTGAGAAATAAATTTCTGTTGTTTCTAAGCTACCCATTGTATGGCATTTTGTAATGGCAGCCTGAACAGACTAAGACATGTGTACAACATCCTCTTGTGAGATGGTGTATAGCTCTTATCAGATTCACAGGACAACTGTGAACCACAGAAGCTTAAGAACTATTTGACCTTGCACATGTGTATTAAATATTAACCCAAGAGCCCCAGATGTGTGCATATGCCTTCGGGTGTGGCCTCACACTCTGGATACCTCCGGGAGATAGGCTACTATTAACAAGCCTTCCATTTTCCTTCTACTCCAAAAAAAAATTTTTTTTAGCAAAATGTCATCCTCAGGACATACTAAACTGAAATAGCAAAGACAAAAAACTTCAAAAAAAAGAATCGATTCTCCATTTAGTCATTGTGAAAAGTCTGTCTTAAAAACCCAGAGTCTCAGGGAATGTCAAAGCTCTAGTTAAATTTTTAATACACTATAAAGGATAGTGTTAAAGAAGAGACCTTTTCAAAGGTAAGTTGGCTCCAAACAGGCTCTTAAAATGGTCCTCATCAAAGACATGAAGCTGCTTGACAGTGATGGTGAGGGAGTTCACTTCTCTTTAGACAGGATTAGGAGCTGAAGACTTGAGGAATGAGCCACAGTGGGTCTTTGGAGACACATCTATTTGTAGTTAGACCCTTGGTGGCTTCATCCAGTGTCAGGGGTTTAAGTAACATTCATGTGCCAAGGGACCAGGCGCAGTGGCTCACGCCTGTAATCCCAGCACTTTGGGAGGCCAAGGCAGGTGGATCACTTGAGTCCAGGAGTTCAAGACCAGCCTGACCAATATGGCAAAATCTTGCCTCAACCAAAAATACAAAAAGTAGCCAGGTGTCGTGGCATGCGCCTGTAGTCCCAACCACTTGAGAGGCCGAGGCAGGAGAACCTCTTGAACCCAGGAGGTGGAGGTTGCAGTGAGCCAAAATTGCGCCACTGCACTCCAGCCTGGGCATCAGGGCAGACTCTGTCTCAAAAACAAAAAACAAAAAAACAAAAAACATTCATGGGCCAATGATTCAGAAATCTATAACTCTAGCTAGACTTTGCAAGCCAACTCCAAACTTATGTATCCAGCTGTCTAGTCAGTATCTCCATTTGAATGTCTAATGGCAATCAAACCTCACAATCAAAAAACAAATTCCTGATAGTCCCCCTAAAGCCCCTGGAGCTGCAGCCTTCCTCGTCTCAGTTGATGGCAATTCCATCCCTGCAGCTGGGCAGCCCTGAAACCTCCGGGTCCCTCCTGGCTCCTCGCTTTCTCTCATATCCCACATCCAATCCATCGGCAAATCCCATTGGCTCCACCTTCAATCGGGACCCAGGAAGGGATCCCTTCTCACCACATCCAGCACGACCACCTTGGTCTGCACCACTATCATCTTTGATCTGGATTCTGCAGTGGCCTCTACATAGGCCTCCCTGCTTCCATCCTTACCTCTCCTAAGTCCCATCTCAATTCAGTATCTAAAGAGAAACAAACTTTCAAAGCTCAAGTCAAGTCATACACACCCTCTTCAAAACCCTGCAATGGCTCATCACACACAGAGCAAAAACAAACATTCTTATGCCTCCAAGTTCCATCTAAAGGAGGGGCTGACATCCCTGCCCTCACCTTGTACTTCTCTCCCTGCTGCTCACCCTGCTGTGGCCACAGTGGACTCTTGGCTACTCCTTGTGGGGGCCAGACATGCTCCTGCCTCAGGGCCTTTGCACTGGCTGTTCCCTCTGCCTAAAACACTCACTGTTTCCCAGAGATCTGCATGACTGACTCAAATTCAAGGACATCTCAAGGAGCCCCTCCCTACCTACTCTATTTAAAATGGCAATTTCTTCCTCTAACACTCTACCGTCTCCTCTGCCCTGTTGAACTTTTTCTTTTTTTAAATCACTAACCACCTTCTAACACAATATAAAATTCATTTATTATGATGATGTTCATCGACTATCTCACCTTGCTATAATATTGGTTATAGAAGGCCAGAGATCTTGGTCTGTTTTAGTACTGATATAACCCAAGTACATGGAATACAATACTCAAATATAATAAATAAAAGACAAGACTGGGAAAGAAATGTCCCTTCAAACCTCTCCATCCAGTCAAGCCAGCTGTCCTCCAGTTTACTGAAACCAGTGACTATTACCACCATGCTTCTGGTGAAATCTAACTCAGTTGAGATTCCTGGAAGGCACTCAATCCTCATTTCAATTTATTTTTTATTTTACTATTATTTTTGAGACGGAGTCTCGCTGTGTCACCCAGGATGGAGTGTGGAGATAAGAGAATCCATCTTTCAAAACAATGAATCTCTCTCTCTCTCTCTCTTTTTTTTTTTTTTTTTTTTTTTTTTGAGACAGAGCCTTGCTTTGTCGCCCAGGCTGCAGTGCAGTAGCATGATCTTGGCTCACTGCAACCTCTGCCTCCTGGGTTCAAGTGATTCTCCTGCCTCAGCCTCCCAAGTAGCTGGGATTACAGGCATGTGCCACCACTCCCAGCTAATTTTTGTATTTTTAGTAGAGACGGGGTTTCGCCATGTTGGCCAGGCTGGTCTCAAACTCCTGACCTCAAGTGATCCGCCCACCTTGGCTTCCCAAAGTGCTGGGATTACAGGCATGAGCCACTGCACCTGGCCTCAATCCTTATTTGAAAAAATGCTTTTGCATCACCATAGAAGTGACAAAGGCTGAACTTAGACTTGGAAACTCCAAAGACACAGAATAGGGTCTCCTGTCAGGGAAGAAGTAAGATTTTAATTTATGCTCATTTAAGATCATCAAATATTGCTGTCATTCCACACATCTTCCTCCTGTTTCTGGCTTTATTCCAAGTTGTCACTGGAGTCAACAAACATTTGAGAAAGTAAACTCTGAACCATCCTGGCCTTCCATTGGGATGAGCCAGGAAATAATTCCAGCTGAGCATAATGAATCACCCAAGTACAGTGGCAGGTGTGGTATATAAAAGGGTCCATTAGAGGAAAGTTGGATACTCATTCCATTGCTATAAAGTCTGGACCTTAGACCACATTTTTGTTCTTCAGAGAAATAGTTGCCGTAATACACCTCAGTGTAGTTACCTTATTTAACACTAAACCCACTGGGCAGATCTTTACTCTTCCTCAATTGGCTAAAGAAGGGGTCATAAATGGCAGAAAGACAGCTACTATTATGAATGAAAAACAAGTAACCTCTCTTCTCTAACTATTAGCACTTAACAGGCTACAAGTTGCTGTCAGGGCTCCTAAGTAGTCCTCTGCAGGGGACCAAGGGGTCTTTCAATGACCTCTTTAAGATACGGGGTGGGCATGAGCAGGGTCTTCCACCAAGGCTAACCCACTTTGGCCATCTTTGTGCAGTGAGGTCCATATAAGACCCCATCTTTATCTCAAGACATACTGAATACCAAGATCTAGAAAACCAACAGGGTCAGATGCTGTGGCTCATGCCCGTAATCCCAGTACTTTGAGAGGCTGAGGTGGGCTAATCACTTGAGGCCGGGAGTTTAAGACCAGCCTGGCCAACATGGTGAAACCCCGTCTCTTCGAAAAATACAAAAATTAGCTGGGCATGATGGCACACATCTTTAATCCCAGCTACTCGGGAGGCCGAGGCAGGAGAATTGCTTGAACCGGGAAGTGGAGATTGAAGTGAGCTGAGACTGCACCACTGCACTCCAGCCTGGGCGACAGAGCGAGACTCTGTCTCATATAAAAAAAAAAAAAAATTGGAAAACCAACTAAAAAAAGCTTATTCATAACTCAAAGAAAAGGGTCAAGAGGGGAATGAGGGAGACACATAAACTGATGAAAATGTTGGGAAAACTGGCCTACCTATGATCGTATGATAGACATTCCTAAGATTAGGATAGAAATAACAGAGGAATGTGCTTCTTATCTAGAGAAATATCTGAGCTTAAAAAGTAATTAAACACATAGTGCTTTCGGCAGATTTAATATATACTAGAATATATAATATGTATTAGAATTTTCACACTTTAAAGACGACAAAAAAAAGTCTTCATTGTGCAAGCAAAACAATATCAAGTTATACAGAGGAACAGACTCACTTTGGCCATGCTTTTTGCTTCCACAATACTAAAGCCAGAAGACAAGGGATCAACATCTGCAGAAGCTTTGTAGAGAAAAATGTCATGACTAGAAAGCTTTGCCCAGCCAAGTTCTTGCTCCTGTATTAGAGTAACAGATTGGCACCATGAACTCTGCAAGGACTCAGAAAATGTATCACCCAAGGATGCTCCCTGGGGAAGATTATTGCTCAAACTCGAATTCCCAAACAACAAAAGGTGGGTCAGCATGTTTAAGATCTCAAGATCGAGGAAATCATGGCTGAAAAGGCAGCAGGAGTATCATCGATGCCAACAATGCGCTCGTAAGTCCCAAGCACTGTACTGAAAGCTGTATGTATATTTAGCATCTCATTTAATTCTCTAAGTAAGCCACTTGTGGCATTATCCCCATTTCTTAGATGAGAAAACCAAGGTTCAGGGAGTTCAAGCAATTCGTCAAGATAACCTCCTTAGGAAGTGAGAGAGTTGGAATTTCAAAATGCATCCCAAATTGCTCAGGTTCCCTCAGTTTATTTATTTTTAAAAATATCTTTATCATTTCCTATGCTTAATCATGTTTTCTAGTTGCTCTAAAAGAAACATTCATTGTTTTTGAAATAAGGCATTAATATGTCCTTTTTTCCAATTAAAATACATCTAAAGACATAAAACAGGCCAGCGTGGTAGCTCACGCCTGTAGTCCCAACACTTTGAGGGACCGAGGCAGGTGGATGACCTGAGGTCAGGAGTTCAAGACCAGCCTGGCCAACATGGTGAAACCCCATCTCTACTAAAAATACAAAAAATTAGCAAGGCATGGTGGTGCACACCTGTAATCCCAGCTACTCAAGAGGCTGTGGCAGGAGAATCACTTGAACCCAGGAGGCAGAGGCTGCAGTAAGCCAAGATCGCTCCACTGCACTCCAGCCTGGGGGACAGAGCAAGACTCTGTCTTAAAAAAAAAAAAAGACATAAAAGAAATTACTCTAAAATGCTAAATAGGAAAGGATTGGTAAGAACATTTCAGAAAGATGCCCACATAAAGAAGGCAGGTAAGGCAATTATCAGTGCCAAATTATACTGAACTCAATAGACTTGACCCTCGAACAATGCAGACGTTAGGAATGCTGGTTCCCTGCGCAGTAGAAAATCTGCAGAGAGTTTTTGGCTTCCCCAAAACTTAACTATGAATAACCTGCTGTTGACCAGAAGTCTTACCAATAACATAGTCAATTAGTACATATAGTGTATGTTATATGTATTATAAACTGTATTCTTACAATATAGCAATCTCAAGAAAAAATGTTATTAAGGAATTCATAAGATAACATATATTTACTATTCATTAAGTGGAAGTGAGTCATCATAAAGGTCTCATCCTCATCCTCTTCACATTGAGTCAGCTGAGGAAGAGGAGGGGTTGGTCTTGCTCTCTCAGGGGGCAGAGGCGGAAGAAAATCTGAGTGTAAGTGAACTCACGTAGTTCAGATCTGTGTTGTTCAAGGGTCAACTATATTTTCAAATAGCATTAAGCAGAACCAGAGATACCCAGTATTTATAAAAGATACCCTCCACAGCAATCATGTAACAGTTATGAATTTATGCTCCAAATAACTTGGTAACAAATATGTAAACAAAAAGGAAGTAGAAGTTGTTTAAACTAACCGGAATGGGAAGTTTTCACATATGATGATCTATCTATGACGATCAAAAAATAAAGCCAAGAAAGATTTGTACTGCCACCTTCACTCCTCTCCAAAAAGGACCCACGTCACAATTGCCCATTCCCCTTTTCCAGCCAGACAACTGTGCTGACAAATGACTTTACCTTCAGGCAGTGGCTGTCACGCTCACGGGCAAGACCTCACCTGGAACGTTGTGTATAGTGATGGCCAAGATGAGCAGTGCGATCCTCCTCCAGCTGCTGCCGCCGGGCTGTGCCAGATTCCCTCGAGAAGGCACAGGGACAGCAGGACCCTCTGGAAGGCCAGTGGCTGCCGCCTTCTTTCTCTGATATGCCTCACCATTCTCACTCTTGTCTGAGCAAAAAAAAAAAAAGAGAGATGGGGAAAGACAGCGCTTTGAACATGTGCACGTTAACTCTCCAGCAAGCTACAGCAGGAAGAAGCTTCTTTTTCTTTTTTGAGACAGGGTCTTACTCTGTCACCCAGCCTGGAGGGCAATGGTGTGATCACAACTCACTGCAGCCCCAACTTCCCGGGCTCAAGCCATCCTCCCATCTCAGCCTCCCAAGTAGCTGGGACTGCCATCTTCACTCCTCTCCAAAAAGGACCCACGTCACAATTGCCCATTCCAAACTTCCTGTAGACTATGCATGCTTCTGTGTGTTCTCTCATTCACTCAGGCATCCATTCATTCAGCGAACAATTCATTGACTAGGCTGAGCATGGTCACTCACGCCTGAAATCCCAACACTTCGGGAGGCTGAGGCAGGCAGATGGCTTGAGCCCAGGAGTTCGAGACCAGCCTGGGCAACATGGCACAATCCCATCTCTACAAAAAATAAAAATAAAGAATTAGCTAGGCGTGGTGGTATGCACCTGCAGTCCCAGCTACTTGGGAGGCTGAGATGGGAGGATGGCTTGAGCCCGGGAAGTTGAGGCTGCAGTGAGTTGTGATCACACCATTGGCCTCCAGCCTGGGTGACAGAGTAAGACCCTGTCTCAAAAAAGAAAAAGAAAAAAAAAATCACTGAACAGGCATTCAGTGCCCAATGCATAGGTACCAAGAAGGATAAAAAAGATGAAGATGTGGTATCCTAGCAATGCCTGTTTAAGACAAGCAATGTTGAGTCATGATTAGAGACACAGATGCCAGAACCATGCTGCCTGCTTCCCTTCCTGACTCAGCCACTGGCCAGCTGTGTAGTGCCAAATAAGTTGTTTCACCTCTCTGTGCAGTGGTTTTCTGATTCGTAAAACTAGAATAATAGCATTACCTATGTCACAAGCGTTTTGTGAGGATTAAATGCAACAATGTCTGAAAGTACTTAGAATGTACTAAGTGCTGATTGTATTGATGGTTATTGTTAGTATCATGTTCCCTCTCCCATAGCCGTACAGAATTACATAATATGTGACCCTGCTCTCCTGGTCACACTGATTTATGGGAACCAATTCAGACGCCTGGCTCAGCCAATCAGAATCCCTCTCCAGGGAGAATTGGCCACTCCAACGTGCAAGCTAAATCTGAAAAATCACGTGATGCGCGAGCAGCTCTGCCACAATGGAACGAGGGAAGCGGCTGGACAGACAATCAGAAGGAATCAGATATACATCAACAAGCAGAGATGGGAAACCATGCAGCTAGACAGGAGAGAGAAGGGCAGAACTGCAGCCCACGTGCCACAGACATTCATGGGCCATCCGTAGCACCCAGCCCTTGGGTTTTCTGAGCAAACCTTCCTTTTAAAAATGCCTTTACAAATTGGCTTATATTGGAAGAATGTCATTCTTAGAACCTTATTCTAAATATCCATGGTCCCCTGGGCTATTTGTTTATTCATAATGGAGCCAAATTGTGTGGATTTGAAATTGGGAGGACAAGAGTGGGAGAGAGCATCCAGCTTTCAGTTCACAGCATGGGATGGATTTGTGGGGAAGGCTTTCTAGAGGAGATAGGTCTTGAGTGAATCTTAAACACGTGATGGCACAGACAGAATGAAGGGTCCCTTTATTGGGAGAGAAAACCCAGCAAGCATAACTCAGGTGTCTGTTAAATTAAATAAGCAAAAGGCCATTGGTCTGAGGCTGTACTTTGAGTTGCTTCGCAGTGAACTACAACCTAACTTAGTATGTATACAAATGAAAATCTCATTAGGAGTATATATTTTTTGTAATAGGATAGCTAGATCTCAGTCAATCACAAGCGGCTGAGCTTCAACCAATCACAGGCAGCCAAGCTTCAGCCAACCAGAGGCAGCCAACTGATCAGACTAAGTCCAAATAAGGTAAATGCCTAACTGTAACCAATTAAGCTATTTCTATACTTTATTTCCTGCTTGAATTTCAAAAAACACGGAGCTCTCTGAATGTCTTCTAGTTTTGAATGCTGCCTAATTCACGAAGCCTTTAATGCTTAAATAAATTAAAAAACATTAGAAGAAAAAAACTTCTTTTGAAAATCATTTTGTGGCCAGGCGCAGTAGCTCACACCTGTAATCCCAGCACTTTGGGAGGCCGAGGCAGGCGGATCATGAGGTCAGGAGATTGAGACCATCCTGGCTAACACGGTGAAACCCTATCTCTACTAAAAATACAAAAATTAACTGGGCGTGGTGGCAGGCGCCTGTAGTCCCAGCTATTCGGGAGGCTGAGTGAGGCAGGAGAATGGCTTGAACCCAGGAGGCGGAGCTTGCAGTGACCCGAGATCCCGCGGCTGCACTCCAGCCTGGGCAACAGAGCAAGACTCCGTCTCAAAAAAAAAAAAAAAAAAAAAACAGAAAGAAAGAAAGAAAATCATTTTGTATTTATTTGCTCAAATCCTACAAGTACAGATTGAAAAGTAAGAAAGTACAGGGCAGGTAGACTCACTCCTCCCCAGCTCCCAATCATTTCTCTCTTACTAACAGCTGAATCTCAGTTCCATTAGGAAAAGGGGGGTCTTTGGTCCTCCACAACGCAAGGATGCCAGTCCTCCACTGGTCAGTAGCCCTGACTCACATAACCAGCCTGTGGAGAATTCAGCTGTCTCAATTGGATAGCAACTCCTCCCAGACAGTATTTACACAAGGCGAAGCTCCACACTCATTGTGTGGTATCCACACCATGTGTATGCATGTACGTGTGTGTGTGCATGTGTGCATGTGTATGTGTGTGTGGGTGCATACAACTGCTACTCAGTACCATCCTGAGATATTAGATCACCTTCGTGTATGTATGCACATGTGTGCACTTCTGTGCACACATTGGGGGAAGGGGTTTTATACATTTTGAGTAGACAATATGTAGATGACTCAGGCTGCAGATGCTGGTTGAGAAACTGAACTAAACATCTGGGATTTCAAGCTCACAAATGCTAAAGACATAAGCAAAGCAGTCCCTGAGAGCTGTCCATGAACTAACCTGGGTCATGGTGGAGGGTCCTCAGCTTTCTCCTAGATCAGTCAGCAAACATTCCTGATTTCCTGTGCCTGGTCTGAGCATACAGGCCTGCACTAGATGCTCTCCAGTGAGAGTTGATAGGGGCCAAAAGAAAAATCTCTTCTCTTGCAGACTTTTGATTGATTGATTGATTGATTGATTAAGCAGGGTCCCACTCTGTTGCCCAGGCTAGAGTGCAGTGGCACAATCTCAGCTCACTGCAGCCTCCACCTCCCAGGCTCAAGCAATCCTCCCACCTCGGCCTCCCAAGTAGCTGGAACTATAGGTGCACGCCACCATGGCCAGCTAACTTTTGTATTTTTTTTTTTTTTTTTAGTAGAGACAGGGTTTTGCTGCATTGACCAGTCTGGTCTTGAATTCCTGGACTCAAGCGATCCACCTGCCTTGGCCTCCAAAAGTGCTAGGATTATAGGTATGAGCCACTGCACCTTGCCCCTTGGGGATTTTATAATTTAAGAGAGGGCAGACAGAGAAGACACACACAAATTCCCTCAAATCTAAGGGGCTAAACACACACTCTAACAATCACCGACAGTTGCACTTGTTTTTGCCAATGTCACAAAAGGATCCTACTCTGAATCTCCTGCAGATACCGCACAGAGAGCAACAGACCTCGGACGCACCACGAGCAAATTCTAGCGTTCTGCTTGTGTTTTATAGGAACATCAAGGAGCATAAAGAATTCTTCACCAAAATAAAAATGCACGCCTGGCCCCAGGCTTCCAACGTGTGAAAACTGACGTCAGTGCCTTCCCTAGTAGGAAACAGGAGGGTGTGAATGCCTCACGTCCTTGTGAAAGTTAAATAAGCCACCATTTGGTGACAGCCACTAATGAGTCTGCAACAAGGAAGATTAGTCCAAATAAATCATTACAGAGTATGATGCGTCGTGAGCAATGAATCTTCTTGCCGCTCCTGGTAAGGCTAGTTCAACCATCACACCCATCAAGTAAAATGCTAGTGCGTGGGAAAAGGATGATCAGTTAGCGGAGGCAATTGCCAAGCACCTTGTGGGATGTGAGGGTGTGCCAGAGTGACAAGAACCTCGTGAGGTTTCTTGAAATTGGAAAGGTTTGGGCACTTTTGAAGTGGAGTTTGGGAAGGAGGAGTAGAGGGGGGACTATTTCATTTAGGGATGAAATAGTCAATGTCAAACTCAGAAGCAAAACAACATCAGAGACACTGGTTAATAGGTAATATTGGGAACTTATCTTCAATGAGTCCTCAATCCTTACAAAAGCCCCATGAAGTAGAGATTAATCCCCTTTAACGAATGAGTAAATTGAAGAACAGAGAGGCAGAGTAACTGGTCCCAGGTCACACAGCCAGTCTGCAGTGGACTCAGGAGTCGACTCAGCATCTTTGCCTCCAGGAGCCCCTCTTTTAACTAGGGCCTCATGGTTGACTGGGGATGAAGTGGGGGGTGGGGTGGGGGTGGAGAAAAGGCTGAACTGCTCATTGCTTGCCAAAAAAGGTAGTGGGAGCAGTTGCTGCCGTGAGAAGGAGAGTCTGGTGAGCTCTCATTGCCTGTGACCAGAGTGGGGAAAGACTCAGGAGAAATCTCGTATCTATAATCATTCTTACTTGCAGACAAACCTGAAACATTTCATGATAGTAGTATGTGTTAACCCATTAGACCTACTATTTCTAAGCATAAAGTAATTGCAAGCAGAAAATATTTACCCATGCTAAGCCCACAACACAGGCTTATACTTCTTTTGGGAAGGAGAATGAAGATTCTTTGTTGTTAGGAAAAAAAAGTTGCCCATCATTAAAATTTTGTTTTTTAACTTATAATTGAGCATCTAAGAATTCACACAAAGAAAGGACCCACTGCCAGGGCTCAGCCTCTCATCCTTCCCACTCCATCTTTCCTGGAAAAGAACCACAGTGCTACATGAAAGGGTGAGGACGACAATAAAACAGACAGAAAAGTCCCAGGCTCACTTTTCCCACGGAATCACCAGGTGATCTTTTCTGATGCATCCGCTTCCCTGATTTCCTCTTCCCCAAAACAAAGGACATGATTGTGGCCACAAAACATCATAGGATGGAGAAAAGCAGACACGGGTCTTGCGGGCACAAGCCCAGGGGCCATCAGCAAACCCTGCTGCCCAGGTAAGCCCCTGCCCTTCAAGGTCTGGCTTCCTCCCTGCAGAGTGGAAGTCTCTGAAGTCCTCTAGTGAATGGCCCCAAACCATTTTGGATCAGCAACCGCCTTTGAAAGTACGGCGAAAGTTACAATCCAGCAAAAAATACACAGACCATTTTGAAATAATTGTCGGGTCCTTATGGATTCAAGAACGTCAGACTGAGAACATCTTGCTAGATAAATGCCAAGTTAACCTCCGTTTTCATAGCCCACGGGCCCAATCACACCAGCAACACAGAATGTATGTGGTCCCTGAGATGGTGTAACCGGCTAAATCTAATGGGCCCAATGATGGAATTGCAGGCCCCCGATGAATATGGCAATGCTAATTAACAGAACACTAGCCAAGAGAGCTTTAACAACATTCCCATGGTATTATTGGAGATGATTTGGTTGGATTAGCACAAATGGCAAATCGTCATCTGTTAAGTGCAGAAAGCATCAAATCCCTGGAAAAACTCTTTCTAAACCCCTGTTACAAAACAAAATGAAGAGTGGCCAGCAACATATATTCATTAAGTAGTATGTATACACAAACAAAACCAAAGGCCAATCAAAAGCAGAATAGAGGCCGGGTGTGGTGGCTCACGCCTGTAATCACAGCACTTTGGGAGGCCGAGGTGGGCAGATCACAAGGTCAGAAGATCGAGACCATCCTGGCTAACACAGTGAAACCCCGTCTCTACTAAAAAATACAAAAAATTAGCCAGGCGTGGTGGCGGGCACCTGTAGTCCTAGCTACTTGGGAGGCTGAGGCAGGAGAATGGCGTGAACCCGGGAGGCGGAGCTTGCAGTGAGCCGAGATGGCGCCACTGCACTCCAGCCTGGGCGACAAAGCGAGAATCCGTCTCAAAAAAAAAAAAAGCAGAATAGAAGGGGATCAACTTATATTGTCCCTGCCTTCTTGTTTCCCAAAGAATCAGTCTAGTTTCAGGTAACACAAATTATTATTTACATTCTCATATGATGGGAACTTTTGGCTATTTCTAGACTTTTTTTCTTATAAATATCACTGTAAAACCTTTAATGTATATAAACAATCAGAAATTGGACAAAGTTCCCAGAAGTTGAACTGTTGATCAAAGGGCCATGATACAATTCCCTAATAAATTTCCAGGAAGGCTGTGTCACTTACCCATGAACAGAGTTTGCAAGTTCTCATTATGCCGCTTCTTAGCCCTGGTATTTCTCATCTTGAAATAAGTATATTTATTTATGGGGCAAATGACATTTCTCTTAATGGGTATTTCTTTGACTACAAGTGAGGTGGAACATTTTTCAATTTCAGGCATATTTCTTTCCTCTTTTGAAAGATGCCTGCTGCCCAAATGAGGCCTCTTTAAATAACAGTAATATGATTAGCTAATTATTTACAGACACTGGTAATTTTCCTGTGATCCGCTTAGGTTTGTCAATGAGACCTAGCTGGGAGTAGCAGGTATTATTATACATCAGACAGACGTATCCACTTGGCCAAGTTGGAGTTTTAGCCTCAAATTTTAAAATTCCTTTTTGAGATTCCTCAAGACATTATAGGGCTTTAAAAAAAAGTATTACCTGCTTTCCTTATGGAACTATGTAGTATGATCCTGAAAGCTAATTTTCTCAGGCAATTGTCTCTTTCAATATTAAAACTTTTTTTTTTTCTTTTTTGAGATAGATTCTTGCTCTGTCACCCAGGCTGGAATGCAGTGGCGCAATCTCGGTTCACTGTAACACCCGCCTCCCAGGTTCAAGCAGTTCTCCTGCTTCGGCCTCCAGAGTAGCTGGGACTACAGACATGCACCACCCCACCCGGCTAATTTTTGTATTTTTAGTAGAGATGGGGTTTCACCATGTTGGCCAGGCTGGTCTTGAACTCCTGACCTCAGGTGATCCACCTGCCTTGGCCTCCCAAAGTGCTGGGATTACAGGCGTAAGCCACCACATTCTTTTTTAAAAAACTTTCACTTTAGGTTCAGGGCTACATGTGCAGGTTTGTTATACAGGTAAACTCATGTCACGGGGGTTTGTTGTACAAATTATTTTGTCACCTAGGTACTAAGCCTAGTACCCAATAGTTACTTTTTCTGATCCTCTCCCTCCTCCCACCCTCCACCCTCAAGCAGGCTCTAGTGTCTGTTGTTCCCTTCTCTGTGTCCACAAGTTCTCATCATTTAACTTCCACTTGTAAGTGAGAACAACTGGCATTTGGTTTTCTGTTCCTGCATTAGTTTGCTAAGGATAATAGCCTCCAACTCCATCTGTGTTCCCAAAAAAGACATGATCTCATTTTTTTTATGGATGCATAGTATTCCATGGTATATATGTACCATATTTTCTTTATCCAACCTGTCACTGATAGGCATTTAGGTTGATTCCATGTCCTTGCCATTGTGAATAGTGCTGCAATGAACATTGATGTGCATGTGTCTTTATGGTGGAATGCTTTCTATTCCTTTGGGTATAAACCCAGTAATGGGATTGCTGGGTTGAACAGTAGTTCTGTTCTTAGCACTTTGAGGAACTGCCACAGTGCTTTAGTTCAACAACGGTTGAACTAATTTACACTCCCACCAACAATGTATACATTTCCTTTTCTCTGCAACCTCATCAGCATCTGTTATTCTTTGACTTTTTAATAATAGCCATTCTGACTGGTGTGAGATGGTATCTCATTGTGGTTTTGATTTGCATTTCTCTAATGATCAGTGGTGTTGAGATTTTTTTCATATGCTTGTTGGCCACATCTATGTCTTCTTTCGAAAAGTGTTCGTGTCCTCTGCTCACTCTTTAATGGGGTTGTTTCTTTCCTGTAATGTGTTTAAGCTCCTTACAGATGCTGGATATTATATCTGTCAGATGCATAGTTTGCAAAAATTTTCTCCCATTCTGTAGGTTGTCTGTTTACTCTGTTGATAGTTTCTTTTGCTGTGTAGAAGCTCTTAAGTTTAATTAGATCCCATATGTCAATTTTCACTTTTGTTGCAATTGCTTTTGGGATCTTTACCATGAAATCTTTCCCTGTTCCTATGTCCAGAATGGTATTTCCTAGGTTGTCTACCAGGGTTTTTATAGTTTTGGGTTTTAGACTTAAGTCTTGAATCCATCTTGAGTTGATTTTTGTATATGGTGTAAGGAAGGGATCCAGTTTAATTTCTATATATATGGCTAGCCAGTTATCTAAGCACTACTTATTGAATAGGAAGTCCTTTCCCAATTGCTTATTTTTGTCAGCTTTGTCGAAGATCAGATGGTTGTAGATGTTCAGCCTTATATATGGGTTTTCTATTCTGTTCCATTAGTCTATGTGTCTGTTTTTATACCAGTACCATGCTGTTTTGGTTACTGTAGTCCTATGGTATAGTTTGAAGTTCGGAAATGTGATGCCTTCAGCTTTGTTCTTTTTGCTTAGGATTGCTTTGGCTATTTGGCCTCCTTTTTGGTTTCATATGAATTTTAAAATAGTTTTTTCTAGTCTGTGAAGAATGTCATTGGTAGTTTGATAGGAATAGCATTGAATCTGTAAATTGCTTTGTGGCAGTATAGGCATTTTAATACTATCGATTCTTCCTATCTCCATAAGCATAGAATGTTTTTCCATTTGTTTGTATCATCTCTGATTTCTTTGAGCAGTGTTTTGTAATTCTCCTTGTAGAGATCCTTCACCTCCCTGGTTAGCTGTATTCCTAGGTATTGTATTCTTCTGGGGTCAATTGTGAATGGTATTGCGTTCCTGGTTTGGTTCTCAGCTTGGCTATTGTTGGCATATAGAAATACTAGTGATTTTTGTACAGTGATTTTGTATACTGACACTTTGTGTATTCTGACACTTTGCCTAAGTTGTTTATCAGCTAAAGAAGCTTTTAGGCCAAGACTATACAGTTTTCTAGATATAGAATCATGCCATATGCAAACAGGAATAGTTTGATTTCCTGTCTTCCTATTTGGATGCCCTGTATTTCTTTCTCTTGACTGATTGCTTAGGCCAGGACTTCCATTACTATGTTGAATAGGAGTGGTGACAGAGGGCAGCCTTGTCTTGCTCTGGTTTCCAAGGGAATTGCTTCCACCTTTTCCCCATTCAGCATGACAAGCATCACTCTTTTCAAAAGAAGAGGATGTACAAGAGCTTCTCTAATCTTCTTTCCCTCATAGCTTGGGAATTCTTGTAAACAACACAGGAGTTTTGTAATCAGTGCACACAAATACAAAGCACCTATTGTGGACAGGCTCCTTGCTAGGGTTGCCAGATTTAGCAAGTAAAGACAGGATGCCCAGTTATGTTTAAATTTCAGATAAAACCAAGATTGTTTTAGTGTAAGTATATCCCACATATTGCATGGGATCTACTTATGCAACAAGGTGTTCATTGTTTATTTGAAGTTCAAATGTAGCAAGGTAACCTGTATTTGAACTGACAACTCTACTTGAGCCCCTGAGGGGCTCAAGGGGCACTTCTCCTCTTGGAGCTGCAGATCCCGCTTGGGAACCCAGGCAGGGACAAGGGAGACCAGGACTTCCTGCTCCACAGACCCAATTTAGGGACCAAGTTCTATGGAGTTGAGCAAGCTGACTGCACTCTACCCTGAGAGCAGCCACATATTCATCTCCATGTAAAATCTATGCAGGATGTGCTACATGGGCCACGTGTAGCCCAGGGCAGGAGAAGATTCCACTGGAGACCAAGAAAACTTCATAGAAAGATAACTAAAATATTTATTATGGGCCAAGGCTGGCGGATCACAAGGTCAGGAGATCGAGACCATCCTGGCTAACACGGTGAAACCCTGTCTCTACTAAAGCTACAAAAACTTAGCCAGGCATGGTGGCACACGCCTATAGTCCCAGCTTCTTGGGAGGCTGAGGCAGGAGAATTGCCTGAACCCAGGAGGCAGAGGTTGCAGTGAGCTGAGATCATGCCACTGCACTCCAGCCTGGGTGACAGAGCGAGACTCCCTCTCAAAAAAATAAAAATAAAAATAAATATGTATATATTATGTTTAGTTCCTAACCTTTAAGCAGAGAAGCATCTGAAGTTTAGGTGATGTGATCATGAACTTATTTATATACTTTTTAACTATAATAGATATTTCCATTTATCACGCTGATAATCACAAGCCACGTGATTATCAGAAGGTCAAACACTGCCTGTGTAAGGAGGCTGATTCAATTGTAGTCAGTACATGTTTTCCCAGGCACAGAAAGTCATCTATGTCTTACCTCTGATGCTTATGAATAAGCAATTGCTTAGTGACAACACAGATACAAATAGATCTGCATAACTATAACTAGTGAAAATTAAATGCACACCAGAAAAGAAACTGGGTTCACTGTTTGCTAAAGATTTCTCATCCATTAAGCAGACCACCCACTTCAACGTTCCTTGTTCCAAGTATCTAAGTAAGATAATTTCTACTCTCAGGTGACAGAGCCAAAATGTCTAATAATATTAAAAGTCCACCTACCAGGTGAGCTCTTCTACTTCATAAAGGCACAAACAACCATTTCATGAGCATGAGCTCACTCCCAATGAATTAATTTTGGTCTAAAAACAAATCCCACATGGGCTCCAGAGTCACCTCTCCACTCCTTCTCAGCTCACCCTGAACATGCATGGTCAATGCAAATGCCCCGTGGGAGGGAGGCCATCATAGCTTCCGCAGGGTCCACCAGCAAAGGACATTTGCTTAAAAAAAAAAAAAAAAAAAAAAAGTCCCAGCACAATTACTGGAGAAAGCGTATTTTGGAGAACATCAATACTTACAAGAGCTTTGCAGTGGACTCCCAACCTCCCCATGGTCAACTTACATGGTTGTCAATTACCAGGTCAAGGAGGAGGTGGACAAGAGAATAGTACCTACTTCAGGGCTCCTGTTCAACTGATAACATTAACTTAATTGTCATGTGGCTCACTTTGCCCTTGAGGTACTGCTGCTCTGTCATCTCTAGTTCTAAGAATAAGGGTGAACAGCTTTGACTGCTGCATCTCCAAGTGTTGGGTGAAGACCACCTGGTGCAGTGTTACAGTGGGAGCTCCCAAAACACCGACTCCTGGACCCACCCTGGAGCTACTAGAGTCTTTTGGAGACAGACTCAGGAATCTGCATTGTTCAAGCCATATCCCTCCCAATCCACACTCATCCCATGATGATTCTGATACAAACTAAGTTTTGAACATCAACGTTTTAGACTGCCCAACTACAAGTTAGTCCAGGTACCTCCTCTGAACCTAAACAGACTTCAGTCCAACTATTACTGTCCCATTAGGTGTCTCAGGGTAATGAACAGGGATATACTTGATTCTTAGTTATATTATTTATATCTGGACACCGAAGGATACATGTGCTTCTGTTTCAAAGACACAGAGGGGACAGCAAAGGAATTTAAGACTAGAAGGTGGGAACGAATTGAATTGCCCTGACAGAAACCATTTTCTTATATCAAATAAAAATCTTCTCTCCCTCTTTTTTTTTAAAAAAAAAAAGAGAATATGGGCTATCACAATTCGGACAGACAAGCAAATGCAACCACAGCAGATGAGGTGACAGAAAAATAAATTCCCCCAAACCAAGGAATTCTTGCATCTTCCCTGAGGCTATGTCTCAAACACATCTCTCGAGTTATACAATTTCCCACTTCCTCTCTTGTCCTAGGAGTTGGTCGCCAGAAATCAAAACATGACAATATTCACGAAAACTGTTAGTTGCTACAATCGAGACAGTATACACATTGCCAGTATTTGCAAATAGTATTCTATTCTGTAAACTACACCAAAAACGAGAATCTTTCGTCAAAGGTCACATAAGTGAAGGGAAAATGCGGAACTAAAATGGCTTAAATCGCACTAACATTTCATAGACATTTCTTGATGTCTGGGTTTTCTGGCTTTTCAGGATGTAAAAAACTGATGCCAAACAAAGGATCATCACTGGAGAGGACGACGGAAAAAGAAAAAGACGAGCACATGCCTGGAAATGTAGGTTTTGCTGCTTGTCTTTGTTACAAGAAGGCCAGGAAAGCTGAGGTTTTACCTGGGCAAGTTTACCAGCTACTCATCCATTAGAAGGGTCCTGAGGGACTCAAGGGGCGCTTCCCCTCTTGAAGCTGCAGATTCCATTTGGGAACCCAGGCAGGGACAAGGAAGACCAGGGCTTCTTGTTCCACAGACAAAATGCCACGACAACAGCCTTGGGGCAGCACCTCTGTCCCCGGTGCTGGACATCAAATGCCTCAGCTTAGGTTATTGACACAATGCTGGCCCCCTGCTGGCAGCCCCATCTATTAAGTCCATCTGACTGGCCAAGCCAAGGTCACCTGTGGCTGGGAGAGGACCCAAGAAAGGGAAGGTCTGAAGTCTGAAATCCAACTTTGGTGGGTTTTTTTGGTGGTTTTTTTTTTTTTTTTTTTTTTGAGACAGAGTCTCACTATGTTACCCAGGCTGGCGTGCAATCATCTTGGCTCACAGCAACCTCTGCCTCCAGAGTTCAAACGATTCTCCTGCCTTAGCCTCCTGAGTAGTTGGGATTACAGGTGCACACCACCACGCCTGGCTAATTTTTGTATTTTTAGTAGAGACAGGGTTTCGTCATGTTGGCCAGGCTGGTCTCGAACTCCTGACCTCCGGTGATCCACCCGCCTTGGCCTCCTAAAGTGCTGGGATTACAGGTGTGAGCCACCACACCCAGCCTGAAATCCAACTTCTATCCTGAAAGGCAGGTCTGCCTTCCACCAAGACCCACAAGGTGGGGAGAAGAAGAGATTCCCCAACATAGCCAAGGGATGTGGGTGCTAAGCAGCCAGAGGAGGAAAAGGGGAGGGAGAAGGAAGGAAGGAGCAGGGGAAAAGCCACCCTTGGGAAGCCTTATTCATGTATTTCGCCATTTACGCCTTCAGTATTCTAGACTCCATCAAATTTACCCCAGCTCTTCCACTCCCTTTAGAAAGACACAGATGAATGGAATCCACTGCATGGAATCCACTGCATAGAATCCATGGGCCAATTCTATCTCCAGTTTTCTGCGTGAAACCCTAGCAATGGTTGCAACCCCTAAAGGTCTTAGCTGCTTCCATCCGTAAAGGAGCCAAATTAGATAGACTTCAGGGCCACTTCTAGCGTAAACACTCCCCCTTTCCAGGGCAGCAATAGCCTCTGACTCAGCCCACCTAAATGATCACTCATCCCCTGTGAGTTGGAGAGAACAGGTATTTCCAGTGCCAGTGCTTCTAGAATTCTGCTCTAACCCAAGAAATTCCCCAAGATGAGCTTCAAGGACAGCACATTCCAACTGCTCATAAAATAAGAATGTCCACTAAATGAGGAGCAAATGCATTTGCCCAGAGGAAGTGGTGTCTCATTGTGCCCTAAAATTTTTTTAAAAGATTTTCTCTTAAGATTTATTAAAATATTTTGTTAATACAGAAATTCCCATACATTAGAGAAAATTTAGAAAATAAGCACGATAAAGGACTAAAAATCATTCATCACCCAGAGGCGACAGCCTTTAAAAAATTCTTAATCTTGGCCAGGTCCTTTATCGTGCTTCCACCTGGCCAAGATTAAGAATTTTTTAAAGGCTGTCGCCTCTGGGTGATGAATGATTTTTAGTCCTTTATCGTGCTTATTTTGGGAGGCCAAAGCGGGCGATCACCTTGGAGGTCAGGAGTTCGACACCAGCCTGACCAACATGGAGAAACCCCGTCTCTACTAAAAATACAAAAGTAGCCGGGCGTGGTGGCGGGCGCCTGCAATCCCAGCTACTTGGGAGGCTGAGGCAGGAGAATCACTTGAACCTGGGAGGCGGAGGTTGCAGTGAGCTCAGATCACGCCATTGCACTCCAGCCTGGGCAACAACAGCAAAACTCTGTCTCAAAAAAAAAAAAACCCTTAATATTTTTATATTTATACTGGATATGCCCACATAGAGATGAACACATATACATCCACACACATACACATTTTTTCAGCTGAATTTTGAAGCATAATTTTCCATAGCATTAAAACATGAACATATTGCATATCATTAAATATTCTCCTCTATCAGTGGTTCTCAACCACATTTCCTTTAGCTATTAGAGGTCAAGATGGGCAAAGCGCAGAATTTCCAGTAGCCAAACAGAGAACTAAGAATATGTACTCAAGGTTTGTTTTTGTTTGTTTGTTTGTTTTTCTGTTAGAAAAAAAGATGTGGCTGGGCACGGTGGCTCACGCCTGTAATCCCAGCACTTTGGGAGGCCAAGGCGGGTGGACCACTAGCGGTCAGGGTTCAAGACTAGCCTGGCCAACGTGGCAAAACTCCCCCTCTACCAAAAATGCAAAAATTAGCCAGGTGTGGTGACGCATGCCTGTAATCCCAGCTACTTGGAAGGCTGAGGCAGGAGAATCCCTTGAACCTGGGAGGTGGAGATTGCAGTGAGCCGAGACTGCGCCACTATACCCCAGCCTCGGCAACAGATTGAGACTCCGTCTCAAAAAAAGAAAAAAAAAAAGGTGTGTTCGTTGCTCAAATTACTTCAAAGTCAGGCACATCCAGTTATCTTCCAGGCCTCTAGAAAGCTTTGGTGCTTAGGATAATAAAAGTGAGCTGGACAGGAATTATAAATCACCACTTAAAAAATTGGCGGAATGTTAGTTGAACTTCAAAGGGCCAATGCATCCTACTCTGAGACATCTGTGGTATAAATGTTATCTTCATGAGTGGTCTCTGATTATTTCTTCAAGCTCAGCTTAAATAATATAGCAGAAAGAACATGTGTATGAAGTGGGAAGCTATATTTTGGCAGCCTGATTTTCCATTGTATTTCCCATTTTCAAGTACATCATTTATCTGTCATCTGCTTCTGGGCCCACCACCTCTCATGTCCATAAACTGCATGAAGAAGTACCTGGGCCTGCATTGCTCACAACCACAGCTACAGTATCTAGCACAGTGCCTGGCACATAGTAGGTACTCAGATATTGTAATTCATTGGAAATGTATTAGGAAAGCCAACGGATGTTCTTTCCTGAAAAAAATGTCCACGCACACCTACACAGAACATTTTGCACATCTTTTAAAGAGTTGATAAACTTTTTTAAGGCTAAGAACCTCACTCCACAATATCCCATCTTATTGATAGACCAATATTGATTTATCCAAAGGCCTATTTTACAAACATAGAGATCAAGGGCTGGCAAACTCTCTTGGTAAGGGTCCAGATAGAAAATATGTTAGATTTTGTGGGTCGGCTTTGTTGCAACTACTCAACTCTGCCAGTGTCACCCAAAGGCAGCTGCAAACAATGGGTCAATGAGCTGGTGTGTCTGTATTCCAATAAAACTTTATTTATTAACACAAAATCAGGCAGCAAGCCAGATGTGGTCTGCAAATTATACTTTGCTGATCCCGGATATAGACTAATAAAAGCAGGACTTTCAAGATGCTTTAAGACTCAGATCTTTTGGTGATCAATGATCCACAGAGAATTTATCTAGAGCCTTTCTGTTTCCCGAAGAACTGAATTGCCTAGGCCCACCCAAGGACCAGCCTTCCACAAGGAGGATCAGAGACAATCCTCGTCTGGAGGAGAGAGTGAAGGTCATTACGAAATATACTGTGTCACAGACAACCTGCAGTGGACAGATGCACCTGTATTCTTTAAAGGAGAAAATAATCCCTGTGTTAGTGTTACCTACAAGCCTAGGAAAGTGAAGCCATATCAAGGCTCTGAGGATCATTCACAGATTGGGTGGGGCTCATTTGTAATCAGCATGAGCTCTTAAGGAGTAATTAGCAAATCGTTGAGATGCACATAATTTACACATTATGTAAATGCAGCTAAATGATTTTCTCGAAAAGTTTGTTTTCTTAATCAGCTAATTATTTCACCAACAATATTTTCATACTATTAATCCACTCAAGAAACAACTCAGCGCAAAGGTAAACTTACCACAGTTAAGGAAAAAAAAAAAACAAACTACAAGAATGAGGTCCCAACTAAAGAAGAATGACAATTCTCTGAAACTGGGTTTTCTCCATGAAAAAGAACACAAGTCAGCCGGGCGCGGTGGCTCACGCCTGTAATCCCAGCACTTTGGGAGGCTGAGGCAGGCGGATCATGAGGTTAGGAGGTCAAGACCATCCTGGCTAACACAATGAAACCCCGTCTCTACTAAAAATATAAAAAATTAGCTGGGCGTGGTGGCGCACGCCTGTAGTCCCAGCTGCTTGGGAGGCTGAGGCAGGAGAATGGCATGAACCTGGGAGGTGGAGCTTGCAGTGAGCAGAGATCGCACCACTGCACTCCAGCCTGGGCGACAGAGTGAGACTCCATCAAGAAAGAAAAGAGACTAGACGAGGAGAGGGGAGGGGAGGGGAGGGGAGGGGAGGAAGGAAAGAAAGAAAAGAAAGAGAACACAAATCAAATGGGATCGTGGCAAACTTTTGCCAAGGTTTGAGTTGAAGGTGGGTAGTGGAGCATGGAAAGAAAAACCCACAGGCAGCACTATGACAGAGTAGTCCTGCACAACGATGGGTGCCCTTGGCAGATCATGTTTGCTTCCTGCTAGTTTGCTAGTCTCGCCACCATCTTCCCATTCACAGGATCAGCAAAAGTGATTCAGACATGGGATCCACCATTTCCCTCACCAGGAGTACCAGGGTAGAAAGCCACAATTGCTGTGAGTCCCAGAAGTTTCCCCTTACTCATCTCTTCTGAATGTTCATTCTGTGTGTGTATGTGTGCGAGACAGAATATACACATGTATGTGCCCACATGCAGATTAAAAGTTGGGCACAGTTTATGAGTCTGTCATTTCCTCCAGTTCCTCTCCTGGGGATTGTCAATCAAATCAAAGGATGGTAGGTGCAGGCAGGTGGGGGCACAGGTGGGGACAACCTAAGTTGCTGGCATGCTGGACAAAGGCAACCAGTCCTCCCAGCAGGCACAGCTCAGGGAGACAAGCGAAAAACCCGTACCAGGCTTGGTGCACGTTCCTCTTTTCTTACTTCTTCAGGATTCTCTCTTTTCCTTTTTCTCTGAGGTATTGACAAGGAGGACTATCGGTGTCATTGCAAAGAAAGCAGGAACAATGATTCTGGGGGACTGAGAACCTGGGCCAACTGCATTCACTCACTGTAAAGCAACTGTTTTTCTGCCCATACATGTTCATGCATCAGGGCGACCATTTCCTGGTTATGCATCTTTGGGGATGCTCATTGATACCCTCTGCGCCTCAGTTTATGCACTTGCCAAACGAGGGTAATAGTATTACCCACTCTACAGGATTGTTGTGGAGAGTGGATGAGAGTAGGTATAGGACCCATCTAGCACATAACACGTACAACACAAACCACATTCTCTAGTTTCTGCCACGAACTAGTATTGCACTTATAAAAATATAAAAGAAAGAGTAATGTCATCTAGTACACCTAATCCATTTTAACTTAAATCCAAAAGGGCAAGAGGCCCATGGTGGAGGAGAAAAAAATTAGATTATGATAAGATTTGGTGCAGAATTTTCAAATACCATCAAATGCCAATTCTCCATGTCAGCAGAGTGAAAGCATGCCTTGGCTATAATAGCAACACTTTTTAAAATTCCATGTTCACGCTGACATTTTCAACCTTCAGAAAGGATCACCCACTGCTAAAGATAATAGAGATTTTCCATCAATAAAAGGAGGGGACTGCTGCCCTTCAAGATAGTCTACACTGCTTTGGAATATGAAGTCACTTTGTGTTTTTTATTTTTAAATAGTGGATGCACTCCTCTCATGTCGTTTACTTAGGCTAACACTGACACAAGTTTGCACTTCCTAAAAAATGTTGCAGCCAGGAAGATGGGAATAAAGTAGGTCGCTAGCATCCTTAAAGCATGCTGGCTGGCTGGTTATCCAGAGTAGACTATGCTTGATAGACAGATTGACAGACAGACAGATGGATAAGATATATACACACAGATACATGGGTAAATACATGCACCATCTATATACAACACATTATATATATATATATATATATATATATATATATATATATATATATATAAAATATATATATTGGATATATATAGGATATATATATACACACATTGGAGATTATATATATATATATATATATATATATATATCCAATGCTATTTCATTAAGCCATTATATTTCTATTTTCAGGCTGATTTTTGTTCAAAAATTGTATATATATATGACTTTTAGAAATTCACTTGAGACATTGAAACTTAATGAAATAGCATGAGACAGCTAATTGCCAGGAAGAACAAGCACCACTCTGTGGTCCATGGATTTGTCCATATGAAATGAATGATAATAAAGGAAATGGTCAGGAGGAAAACTGGTTCCTGAAAAAAACAAAAACCAAAACCATGAATCAACCCATTCAAATGCAGCTCCTAGCAAGGGAAATACATCTCTTTCTCTGCCATTTTTTTGTTGAGTCAGGGGCCATTGCCTTTTCAAAAGATGGCTGTCTTCTTTTAATGAATCCAATTAGTGCTATGCCAAGATGCCCAAGAGACTTAAGGTTCCACACAGACTCCCAGTGCAGGGAGGCTAAATTCTTGAAGCCTCTGCTTTCTGAGATGGAAGTGTTGGGTCAGAAGGGAGGCTGACAGACAAAGGCTGACCTGAGGTTGCGTGGAGCTAACAGAGCCAAGAAAAACGTTGGTTCTGAGACAGGAGGAAAAAAATAAATTAGAAATCAAACAGCATGGGACTTAGTGAAATCAATATGAGGACAAAGGAGGCTGCCCTGATGTTCAAGAATGGACCCTGCTTGGTGAACCCTAAGAATTAATGGAGCAGAGCAGAAACGTTTGCCAGGCTGGGAGCATCCTTTCCCATCCTGTTCCTACTTAGACAAGGACCACAGGGACACACAAAGAATGGCTTAGTTCCTAATGGAAAACAAATGCCATTCAGCAAAGGTTTTGAGAAGGAGCAAGGTGGCTGCTGAGAGCTTTGTTTTCTTTCCATTTCAGCTACGGGCAGACATGTCTTGCTGAAAAATGAAGGTTTGAGAAATACAGATTGTCCTAGTGTTCAGATGAGTACTGCCCACTAAGGTTAAAAAAAAAGGACCACAGGGCTGGAAGATGAAGAGGCAATTATCCTCAATTCAACCCTGTGGCTCCTATTACACAAAGAAAGGTGGGAAGCTGAGGCCACATGTGCATGCGGGAGCAGACTGTGAGTAGCTGTATGGTAGAAGACTGGAACTGAGCCCAGCCCAAGTTAACGATATTTTACAGTGGTTCTTGAGCTTGAGCAGGCAAAAACAAAACACAAAACAAACGACAAGAAAACCCCACAAAAGCACTTGGGGAGCTTGAGCAAAGTGCAGATTCTTGGACTCCACAGTAGACCCAGGCAGGGCTTGGGAGTCTGCAGGTCTGACTGCTACTCCAGGTAACTTAATTCAGAGGAGGAAGATAGATCTAGGGGAAAACACAAAGGAAACCCATTAAAAATAAACTCCTAAGCTGGGCTCCCAAGAGCCCGGACCTCTTGCTAACTGTTTAGTGGGGATCTTCACTTGGGCATTATACTCTCATTTTACACACCTTGCCCCAAACGAAGCAAATTACCTTTTGCCAAGAACATGTTCCTCTTCTTGGAATCTCTTTTAGGATGACAGATTCCATAATCTCCCCCATTTACCAAGCCAGGAGCAACACAAGAGCAAGTGTCAGCATATGCAACTCACTCTGACAAACTCTGTTCTCGGAGGACCCAAGGGAAACCCAAGGAGGGACTCAGACCCTAGACACTGGGAGAGTGAGTGTGGAATAACCTGTGATGGTTCTACTCATAAGGCTCCCAAATCCAGTCCAAAGTATGTGAGCAGGAACCCAATATCCCACCCAGACACAGCCGCCTGTCACGTTTTCTTGAAGTTTAATATTAGAGTCTACCCCATAAACCACCTCAAGTGGCAAGTTCTGACCTCCTCACTGACATCTGTCCCTTATTTTGCCACTGCAGACCAGAGTCTGCAGACAGTCAGGTCCTGGCTCAGTAAGCCTTGTAGAATCGCCCATGCCAGAGGCAGGTGGTAGGGGTGGGCTACAGATTGCAGCGTGCCTGCTGCCATGGCAACGCACGAGCAACCAGGGATGGGAAAGAAGGTGCTTTACTTAATTGAAATCCAGGCAATGTCTTAATACGAAGCTCAAGGAAGTTAATGCTCAATTAGATTTTCTCCTGCCTCCTTTTTCCCCTTTCCATTCACGTCACCAAATGACTTTAACCATCCCTCTCTGCCACCAAAACAGAAAAACAGGGGAAAACCCATAAAACATCTCTAAAGTTGAGTCACTGTATAAACCACTGAGACTGAACCCTCTCCTCTCACCATACTCAAGCAAAAAGCAACCCAAGACGCCTAGGTTCTCTCTGTTCACTGCCAATCCATCTCAAAAGAAATTGTTTGCCCAAAGGATTCTTAAGACTGCATTGGCTTTGCCATCACCACCTCACCGGGGCCACCTTTTCTCACACTATGACTACGAATTACCTGGAGATTTAAAATGCATATTCCTTGCCTATGCATATATGGACAAAATGCATAAAATGCAGATTTCCTGGCCTCATCCACCAGATAGTTGGTTTAGGCAAATCAGAGACAGAATATAAGCATCGGCTTTTTTTTTTTTTTTTTCCTAGCAACCCGGGGAATTCTGATCTTGTCTAGAGCCAGATCCACCCTGTGAGAAATGCAGACCAACCGATTTGGGCTTTACCTGCAGATCTGTCCTTCATAGGACAGGCTGAGCCCAGCTAAAGGTGGACATCTAATGGCCTCACCAAATAAGCCATGGGCTGTGAAAGGGTTAACCGGGGTCCCCTGTTACTGCAGTCGTGAGTCCCCTAACATAACGATTCTGAACACCATAGATACACATGGAAAACGTGTCTTGGGGTCGATCCTAGCCACTATTTCTCCATTCTGCAAGGTGGAACAGGAAAATAAACATGCTCGTAATCCAAAAATATTCACTGATGAACTCACCACTTATAAAATTAGTCCTCCCACTAAAAAATTCCCTCCCTGCCTAAGAGCCCAACAGAAGTCCTAACCCGCTGCTCCCTGTCAGTCTGGGTGATTGTGAACATTTGTTTGTATTTTCATCTTATTGTGGAATTTGTGGAAATGTCAAGTTATAAGTCTTGAGAAAGATACAAGAAGCTCCAGGACATGATGCAGAAGAAAGGCTGTTCCCTGGCCGAGCCCAGAACACGAAGGACCCAGCTAGGGAGTAAAGATGAAAGCATGGCTGTTTTGCAAATTTAAATTTTGACTAGCCATCTATCTGATTCCAGCAAGATGAAGGATAAAGATAAACCAAAATCTCCCTCTACAAACACCTAGAAATGATGGGTGAGATGAACAGCAACAACAAAAAAATGTTTTAAATGCAGGTACAAGTTTGCAACAAAGGAAGGAAATCATTAATGATGAGAAACTAGAAACCGGAGCCTTAAACACCAAAACCAGTTCAGAGGTTGCCTTGGGGTGAATATGGGTCCCAGGAACAGGGGCCTGGGTGTTACTGTCCACATGGAGGTAAAGGGGAGGCCCTGGAACACACACACCAGGGGCTGAAATTTTACAAATGCAAGATTCATGGAATTCTGCCCCTATGCAGACAGGTGAAATAGGGGGAAAAAATTATGCACCAACAGAGAGAGACAAAAAGGATGCTCATATGTTTCTATGTGGTCTCTGAAGAAAAAAACTGCTCGAAAAAAAAAAAAAAAAACAACTTTGGGCCTACACCTTGCAAAGGTCAGGGTATGAGTTTCTACTTTCTACATTGGCTAGAAAAACCCCACCATAAACATCAACATAAAAGCTGGTTCCAGGGTAACGAGGCTCTCAAAGGATGTTACAGAAACAAATGCAAACCTACTCTAAAAAAAAATACGCTCCCATGATCCAGGACGCTGAAGACCCTCAAGGAAAAATGCAGCCACCAGAGAAGGACTGACGTTAAAAAGCTGAAAGGTCTAAGAGAAATCAGCACTCCATGCATGAGAGTCAGCAGGCACCACCGACAGAGAGAAGCAGAACCTTTGTGTAATAGCTCTTTTTTAAAACAATATAAAACAGCCTAACCTTATTCAAGACCTAAAAGAAGAAATTAAAACCAAAATAACCACATACAACCAAGAAAAAACAGACGAACCCACTCGAACAACTACAAAATAAAATCCACAGTCATTTCTATTGAAAACTCAACAGACAAATTAGATAGTCGGATATTGGCTCAATGACTAACCAATGAGCTGGAGGATAAATCTAAATCAGAGAGAGGAAGAGATGGACAATATCAAGAACAGTTTAAAGCAGGGGTCCCCAATACCTGGGTCATGAACCAGTATCCGTCCATGGCCTGTTAGGAACCAGGCTGCACAGCAGGGGGTGAGCGGCAGGCAAGCAGTTGAAGCTTCATCTGTATTGACAGCCGCTCCCCATCGTTCACGTTACCACCTAAGCTCCACCTCCCGTCAGATCACCAGTGGCATCAGATTCCCACAGGACCACGAACCATATTGTGAACTGCATATGTGAGGGATCTAGGTTGCATGCTCCTTATGAGAATCTAATGCCTGATGATCTGTCACTGCCTCCCATTACCCCCAGATGGGACCATTTAGTTGCAGGAAAACAAGCTCGGGGCTCCCACTGATTCTAGGTTAGGTGAGTTGTATAATTATTTCATTATCTATTACAATGCAATAATAGAAATAAAGTACACAATAAATGTAATGTGTGTGAATCATCCCAGAACCATCCCCCACAACCCCCAGGTCTTTGAAAAAATTGTTTTCCACGAGACAAGTGTTCACTTTAAAGTAGTATACCAAATCTTAAGATAAATAATACATAGACACACATACAAACACACACACAATCACATCATACTGAAACTGAAAACCACTAAAGACAAATGAAAAAAAATGTATACACAACCAGAGAGAAAGACAAAAACTTGAAATGAAGCTGCTGCTGTGTGCATTTTTATAATGCTTACAGAGAATGCAATGCAAAGCACAAATCTTCAGATGGATGAATGCCAACTAATTAGAATAATAAGTGCCAAAGGAAATGGACATTTCTATTAACCTACACATTTAAATGCAATTTGATTTTTCTTTCAAAAGTCAGAGCTAAATACTTTATTTAGCTAACTAACTAAAGCCCCTCACAGATCCTAAAATCCCCCATAGATTCTAAGTGAAGAGATATTATAAGAGAAATCAAAGGCAATCAATTTCACACAAGAAGCAATGGTGAGCAAAGATATTAGCAAAAATGTTGGAAAATGGAAGCAACCATTGATTGTAAAATACAAACGAACAAAAACAATAACAATACTAGCAACTCATTTGGGAGGTATCAAACAAAGGGAGATACTAAAATACTGGAAAAGTAGTAACATTAAAGCATTCTAAGGTCCTCTGATTGGTAGGGAGGAGGGGAGAGATGCAGATTAATTTTAAACACCGTTATTAGGTCAACTAGGCAAGTTTAAAGAAAGTAAAAGGAAGCCAGGAGTGGTGGCTCACACCTGTAATCCCAGCACTTTAGGAGGCCAAGGCAGGCAGCTCACTTGGGGTCAGGAGTTCGAGGCCAGCCTGGACAACATGGTGAAACCCCGTCTCTAATAAAAATACAAAAATCAGCCGAGCATGGTGGCATGCACCTGTAATCCCAGCTACTCGGGAGGCTGAGGCAGGAGAATTGCTTGAACCCAGGAGGCGGAGGTTGCGGTGAGCTGAGATCGCGCCACTGTACTCCAGCCTGGGCGACTGCGTGAGCCTCCATCTCAATAAACAAACAAACAAATAAAGGAAAGGGAGACACAGACAAGATACTGAATTGAAAACTTCCAAATTAATAAAGCGTAAGGGGGATAAAAAGAGGAAAATAAAAATCAATCAATCCACTGAAGTACTAAAAAAGGAAAAAGAAAATGCATGGTAAATAAAATACGAGGAAGGAGTATAAATCTTGAGCCAGGCCATACCCACACACAAGAAAGGGCTGTTCCTCAAGACAGCCCCTGGTGTGTTGAATGAAGTGCGCGCGCACACACACACACACACACACACACACACGCACACACACCTATGCACAAACACACTAGACCCAGATGGTATTAATAGTGTTAAAAAAATTAATTGAAACACTATTAGGCTGAGATGACCCTAGTGCCTTGGGATCCTACATAAGCAAACCAAAACCCAACTCACTGTAAATGGTAAAACAAAATTGAAGCTTAGCCAATCAGAAACTGCCAACTAACCTCTAACTAGGGATTTTCCACTTTAACCAATCAGATATTTTCTTAGTCTTGCTTCCTGGAACACCTTATAGAAGTTTTCCTACTCACACACCCTGGGCAAAGCCCTGATCACTTGTGGTTTAATACTGGCCAATTCATGAATCGTTCGCTGCTCAAATAAACTCTTGAAAGTTTTTATGTGCCTAAATTTAACTTTTAACATTGGTAAAGACCGTCTTGTTATAGAGGAACAAATAATCCCCATCCCATGCTAACTATTCCAGAGAATAAATAGAAAAATGAGGAGAGAAAGAAAAATAAGTAAAACTCCCCAACTCTGCATGATCTGGATGAGGTTGGTATAACTTTAACCTTAATATTCAGAGGGAAAAAATAATAAAAGCAACAATATTCAAACCAGAGGAATGTAACATAAGAAATAAGTTTTAGGCCATGCTAACTTAAGAACATAGATGCCAACTGCTAGAAATAAAAAGGATAATAGCATCTATCAAAAATGTGTCTACGGAAAATCTTCAGTAAGGCTGGGCACAGAGGCTCACACCTATAATCCTGGTACTTTGAGAGGCTAAGTCAGGAGGATGGCTTGAGACCAGTAGTTCAAGACCAGCCTCGGCAATATAGTGAGCCCCTGTCTCTACAAAAAAAAAAAAAAAAAAAAAAAAAAAAAAAGAAAGAAAAAATTAGCCAGGTGGGGTGGCACATGCCACAGGCCCAGCTACTTGGGAGGCTGAGGTGGGAGGATAGTTTGAGCCCAGAAGGCAAGGCTGCAGTGAGCCATGATCCCACCACTGCACTCCAACCTGGGTGACAGAATGAAACCCTGTCTCAAAAACAAAAAAAAAATCTTCAGTAAGTATTATATGAATGGTAAAAATGTAGAAATGTTCGCTTTAGAGTTCCACGGATAGACAGAACTCTAAAGATGGCACCCAACATTTGCCTCTCTCCCTGCCTAGAGTACACACTTTGCATAATCCCCATGGATAGGATGAATTTCACTGCTGCGAAACTCAGCTCAGCTGACTTTAAGACAGGGAGGTTAGCCAGGTAGGCCTGACCTAATCCCATGAGATCTTTAAAAGAGAGAGCTTTCTCCAGCTGATCTCTGAAAGGAAGTCAGAGGTTCTTCTGGGAATAAGGCTCAGGCATGAGCCTTTGAAATGGACATCCCCAAATAAACGAGCCCCCCATGTTGTCCTTCCCAAGTGGCACCAGTGAAAGTAACAAGAAGCCCAGAGAACATCTGCTGACTGAGGAGGCCCCAGCTTTTGACAAGGTGTCCATCTGGAAGCATCTGGGACAGAGTCAGCTTCTCAAACCTTGTGCATGTTAAATACGGAAGCATGGTCTCCTTCCCCAGAGAATCTGGTACTACGAATAAGTGGGAAATGCATTTTTATTGATTGATGGATTTTTATTTATTTTTGAGATGGAGTTTCGCTCTTGTTGCCTAGGCTGGAGTGCCATGGTGTGGTCTTGGCTCACTGCAACCTCTGCCTCCCGGGTTCAAGCAATTCTCCTGTCTCAGCCTCCCAAGTAGCTGGGACTACAGGCACCCGCCACCATGCCCAGCTAATTTTTGTATTTTTAGTAGAGACCATGTTGGCCAGGCTGGTTTCAAACTCCTGACCTCAGGTGATCCACCCACCTCGGCCTCCTCGGCCTCCCAAAGTGCTGGGATTACAGACATGAGCCACCACGCCCAGTGAATTTTTAAAAATTGATTTTCATAATACAAAAAGCACATAGAGAAAAGAAACTGGCATGTAATCCCCATGCCCGGATAATCCCTGCTGACATTTGAAAGCACGAAAGTAACACATGTTCGTGTTTAAAATGCAAATAGAACAGAAAAAGCTGAAATAAAAACCAGAACTGTCTCTCCCCTACCCCCAAGTATTTCTTCCCACAAATAACTGGTCACAGATTTTAATGTATTCTTCTAGAAAAAAAATATTATAATACCAGGGCATATGTCCTTCTCAACATTTCTACCCCAAAGGAATTAGATCGTATCCAGTTTTGCAGCTTGCTTTTTTTTTCTTCTTCTTCTTTTTTTTTTGTTTAGCATAACCTGTAGATTTTTCTACATCTGCATTTTTAAAAACTACCTCATTCATTTAACTAGGCTCAAGGCAGGGAAGGAATCCCATTTTTAATCAGTGCTTAAGGTGAGTCTAATGTGCGAGGTCAGCAGACCACACTGAGAAACCCTGATCTGAGACAGGTGTATGCATGTGGAACTCTCTGGTTTCTATGCCAATCCATGCTAAGGTCTTGGGAATGTCCTCTTCCTCTCCCTAACAAGCAGAGGCCCAGATTATCTCTGAACATCCCAGATTTAGGTATGCTGTCCCAATACAAATGGAGAAATATTCCTCTCCAGACTGTGTTTATCCACCTGCAAGGGTCTCATGATAACTTCCAGGAGTTAGGTAGCATGAGATAGAAAATTATTCCTGGCTTCACTGCTGAAAACGGGTGCCCTGCGGCAATGTGTTCATTTGCAAAGCATCTTCGCTAGACTCCCAAATTGCCACTCATCCATTTTCAATCTTAGGTCATTGCCAAAGCAAAGCAAGCAGCCAAGACCTGGTGTTGGTCTCATACAGCCCCAGATGCTCTCCAGATGCAGAGACCCCTCTCCCCATTCCTCTACAGGCCACGCTCTCCTGCAGATTTGTGGCCAATTGGTAAGTAGCTCCAAGATAATGTTGCTACGGATTTGCCTCAAGCATCCTTTTGCAGTCTTACTTATCTTTTAACTGGAAAAGGTTTGCCTGCTAATGAGCCTATGTTATCCTTCATCTAATTATCTTTGGCAATCCCCTCTTCCCTGGCTGCCGCAATGTTAAGGGCCATCAGTCAGAGATCTGCAGGTGGAGAGGTATGATACTGTGATAGAATAAGAATTACATATTTTGGTCTTCATCTTGATTCCTGACACAGAGCTCTTAAAATCCTTGTACATTTCCTAAGTGATAGGAACAATAAAGGAATAAAGGAGAGTCTTTTGTTATTCATAACAAGCCCTTTTCTGGTTTTTGGTTTTTTTTGTTTGTTTGTTTTGTTTTTGTTTTTTTTTTTTTTTTGGTTTTTCTGAGACAGAGTCTCTCTGTTGCCCCAGCTGGAGTGCAGTGGTGCAATCCAGGCTCACTGCGTCTTCCGCCTCCCAAGTTCAAGTGATTCTCCTGCCTCAGCCTCCCGAGTAGCTGGGACTTCAGGCATGTGCCACAATGCCCGGCTAATTTTTTTGTATCTTAGTAGAGACAGGGTTTTACTATATGCCCAGGCTTGTCTTGAACTCCTGAGCTCAGGCAATCCACCCACCTCAGCCTCCCAAAGTGCTAGGATTATAGGCATGAGCCACTGCACCCGGCCTATAACAAGCCCCTTTCAATCACACCTAAGTTTACATGTGTGCGGTGCCTTTTGGAAAGCCCTTAAGGATGGGGGGCGCTGTTTGCCAGGGGAAACAATCATGAGATTAGAGAGTTGAATTTGGGCCCCACACCCAAACCTGGCCTCTGGGGAGGAGGAGAGGGCCTACAGGTTGAGTTGATCACCATTGGCCAATGATTTAATCCATCATGCCTGCATAATGACCCATCCATAAAACCCCAGAAGGACGGGGTTCAGAGAGTTTCCTGGTGGCTGGACATGTGGGGTGCTGGAAGGGTGACATGTGCCCCATCCCCCAGGCCTTGTCCTGTGTGTCTCTTCTACCTGGCTGTTCCTGAGTTGGGTCCTTTTATAATAAATTGATTACCTGTAAGTAAATTGTTTTCCTGAGTCCTATAAACCATACTAGCAAATGATCAAACTTGAGGAGGGGGTTGTGGGGACCTCTGATTTACCCTCCAGTTGGATGGGTGAGAGCCTGGATCTGTAATTGTTGTTTGAAGTGGGGGCAATCTTGTGGGATGTAGCCCTTCATCTGTGGGACCTGTTGCTGTCTCCAGGTACACAGTGGCAGAATTGAATTCAATTGTAGGACACTCAGCTGGTGTCCTTACAAAACTGGAGAATTGCTTGGTGTAGGAACACTGCACACATTTGGTCACAGAAACGTTCTGTGTTGAGTGATAGTATAAAGGCAATGATTTTTCCTATACAAGAGGTAAAGAGAGTAATGTCTATGATGGTGTCTGCTCCTGTCCCAGTGCCTGGGGAGGGCAGGTGATTCCAACCCAGCAAAGTCCCAGGAGTGGAGGGAGTTGGAAGCCAAGACCCACATCCCTGGATTTACAGACCCTCTGGGGTGTGTCCCTAGCTTGCCACCCACAGCGCATCCACATCCTCACACATGGGAAACCCTAGGATACAGCTGAGCTCCACTCTGATCCCCAGGGGCGTTGGAAGGTCATCAGGGCCAGATGGGTACAAACCACCCAACTCTGCCAGATTCTCAGATTCGACAGACGGGTACAACCCACCCAACTCTGCCAGATTCTCAGACTCAACTGGTCTCTCGAAATAAGGATGTAACAACGTGGGGGCAGTGGCGTAGCTCCTAACTGGCTATGGCACCGAAAAGCTGATGAAACTGCCTTTGCGAAAATTATGACAGTGATAGAAATCTTACATAGCTGATCCATCTTGCTTCTAACCTCATAAGCTGTCATCCCTGGACATAGGCCAAGCTAGCTACAGGAGGAAGTTAGTTTCTAGTGTAACTTTAAAACAAAGATGATAACAGTCCCTTGCCAAAACTAACCACCCCCTCCGTTGTGGGGACTGAAACTGTCTTTGTAAAACTAACCAATTGGCCACCAGGTTAGAATTATGGTTCAGGGGCGGGTGCAGTGGCTCATGCCTGTAATCCCAGCACTTTGGGAGGCTGAGGCAGGTGGATCACAAGGTCAGGAGATCGAGACCACCCTGGCTAACATGGCGAAACCCTGTCTCTACTAAAATACAAAAAATTAGCCGGGCGTGGTGGCGGGCACCTGTAGTCCCAGCTACTCGGAGGCTGAGTCAGGAGAATGGCGTGAACCCGGGAGGCGGAGCTTGCAGTGAGCCGAGATCGCGCCACTGCACTCTAGCCTGGGCGACAGGGGCAAGACTCCATCTCAAAAAAAAAAAAAAAGAAAAAAAAAAAGAATTATGGTTCAGGACTCATATAGCTGGAGGTTACAAGATCTATAACCTCCCCAGTTGCTCCTATTCTTAACATCGCTATTATAAAACCTAAGACTGGTATTTGAGGTGTTTTTCAGACCTCACGTTCTGATGGACCGGCTGGCACCACCTGGATGGGAAACCTATACCAAGAAACTGACTCAGCTGGGTCCTGTGACCTCTACCCAGAAATTGATTCTGCACAAGAAGATAGCTTCAACCCTCTGTGATTTCATCCCTGAGCCAACTAATCACCTTATCCATTTCCTAGCCCTCTGCCTGCTAAACTACCCTTGAAAAACTCTAGCCTCCAAATATGTGAGGAGGAGGACTTGAGATACATCTCCCATCCTTCCAACTTGGCTGGCCCTATAATTATCAAACTCTTTCTCTTCTGCAACTCTTGCCATTAAGTGTTTGGCTTTTCTGGGCATCAGTCAACTGCACTAAGAAAGCAGGTTTGCAGAATGAAGAGAGCTGATGGAAAACAGAAAAAAGAGACCCTGGTGGGAGGCAAAGGAGAATATGTGAACACGTGCCCTCAATTTCCCACCCCCTGACTCTAGCACCCCATGAGACTCAACTTAGCACACTGCCCTTGGATTGTTTCCTTGGAATATATTCTGCCTTCCTCCTTTAGCTGGTCTGAACTGGGTTTCGCTCCCAGAAACGGTTTGGCTCTGTGTCCCCACCCCCACAACAAATCTCACTTTGAATTGTAATAATCCCCATGTGTCAAGGGTGGGACCAGGTGGAGATAACTGAATCATGGGGGCAGTTTCCCCCATGCTATTCTCGTGATTCCTTCTCACAAGATCTGATGGTTTTATAAGGGGCTCCCCCCACTTGCTCAGCTCTCACTCTTTCTTGTGCTGCCTGTGAAGAGGTGCCTTCCACCATGACTGTAAGCTTCCTGAGGCCTCCCCAGGCACGCTGAACTGTGAGGCCATTAAACCTCTTTCCTTTATAAACTACCCAGTCTTGGGTATGTCTTTAATATCAGCGTGAGAACCGACTAATATACTCCCTTCCAACCACAGGCACCCTTCCTTGATGAAGACAAAACCACAGTTGCAATAAAGTCTTAATGGTTGACAGTATAATAGGAGACAAGGTAAGAAATGATCACTTAAATGTTTGCCAAGGGAAAGTAATCACCTGGGACTGGTGAGCATAAATGATTTTTGCTCCAAAGCAAAGAGAAAATCCAGAGTCCACTCTGGGTTTCCTGCCCGATGTAGAACTGTCTCTGTTCCTTCTCTCCCACCCCGGACATGCAGTTCCCTCTCATGATTTTGTGGGAAAGCTCCATCCTCAGCTAGGATGGATGCTCTGTGGACAAGAAGCTGAGGCGTCCATCTGCAAGGCTGTCGCAGGGATGCTGAGCAAAGCTGACACCAGGAGGGAGGGGAAAACCCCGCTGCTGGTAATTCAAGGTCCTATAATCTTCTCCCATTTTGCAGGTGAACAGCCTGGTATAGGAGCCTGAAGTTATCGGTCCAGAAAGAAAATGCAGGTTCCTGTCTCCTGTCACCTTCAAAACCTTGCTTCCAAAGAAATCATCAGGGAACACCCTGAGAGGAAAGAGCGAGCCCTGAAAAATGAGCAGAAGTATCCTTGATGGAGAGGAGGAAGTGGTAGCAATGTTGGGTTTTGTCTGTATTGGCCATAGCCAGCAAAAGCCCATTCCCCTGTCCCGCTCTAAGAAGAAAGCACAGCCAGGGCCTCCAACCCAACTGTGGACAAAGGAAATAAGACAAAGATTGTAGAGTTTGGGACCCAGTCATTCCTCGTTCTTTCCCACTGAAAACTGAGTGGAATACATTTTGTACCCCAAATGAAGCTAAAGAATATTACAGTGGCTGCAGGTTGAATAAACTGGGGGAAAGGAGGGAGAGACCAGAACCAAAAACACTCAGATGGGCAAATATATCTCAAACACAGCACGAGAGAAACACAGGGAGTAAATCACAGCAAAGAGAGAAAAAGAGGAGACAGGGTTATTTTGGGAAGAAAAAACTGGTGCAATTAGATGCAGAAATAACATTTTCAAAGGGGAGGAAGTCACAAGAAATGTAAGGAAGTGAGCTGTGTATATTATTTTAAATCTTGTTCACATTAACACTGTAAATATTCCAATTAATTCATCATTATTGAATTTGCCAGCAAGGCTAAGGGTAAAACTTCAGCCCAAAGTTTAATTATACCGAGGCAGAGTGGAGCATTTTTCATGTCCCCAAGAACTGCCAATGGAGAAAGATGAAGCTTTCATAATGGCCAGGGTGACAGCCACCTTTCTGAACACAGCTGTTACCTACCTGAGGACTTCCCAGGAAGCCAGCGGGATTCTGGAACCCCCTGAGGTTGTCCAGCTAATTTGCAAAGTGAGACAGAGTTTTATGGAAAAGCTATTCAAACCCACTGATGCCAAATGCTCCAACAATCTGTCCACCCTTCCCTTCCTCATCTCCCACAAAGGCACCCATGGCTGTGCATGTTTATGCGTGTGTCTGTCATCCTACATTCATGTGGCTCTGGTTGATTTCCCAGTTCGCATGCATTTACTTATTAACGATGATCTAATTCGGAGTCATTGTTTCTTTTCTAATCTATTTCTTTCTTTTCCCTTAGAGCACTTTCAATGCTTACTGTGTCAGACCCTCCTTCTGAGGAAGGAGGTGGGACTTGATTCCAAAGGCGAGGCTCAGTCACGGGACCAAACTGAGGACTAGCTAAAACAGGGGCAGGGTGGAAGCAGCTTTCTATTAGACATGTCCACCCAGTGTGCCATATCAGCTTAACACTGCCATGGCAACATCCTGGAGCTACCACCCCTTTCCATGGCAATGACCCAATGACCCAAAAGCTGCCACCCTTTTCCTAGGATTTTCTGTATATAATGCCCCTTAATCTAAATGTAATTAAAAGTAGGTTATAAATATAACTGCAAAACTGCCCTGAGCTGCTACTCTTGTCACACTGCCTTATAGGGTAGCCCTGCTCTGTGGGACCAGTCATGGGAGTGTCAAAGTTAAACCTGGAATGTTTCCTTCTTGTGATTTTGGGACATAACCATGCTCTGCCATGCCCAAAAGCCTCCATCAAGATCAATGGGTGGAAACAGAAATTGGATTATGGTGGTCAAATAAAAAATAAAGAGCTATTGTAGAATACTTAGGGGAGAAATGGGCAATGGTCAAATGCTTCATATCCCCTGGCCCCAAAGCCAAAGTCAAGTACAAAGAAGCCAAGGAAGCATGTTGTTAAGTTCCAAAAGTTTGTCTCTGCTTGTTAGAACATAGTGCTAGCAAGATCACAATCACAGGAACTTATGAAACAGGCCTAATTGTTGCATGAAACTGATATTTATGGTTTCTTTTGAATAAACACAGAAATGGACCCTCCCAGCCTTAAAACTTGAGAAAGTTACATTCGTCTTATCTGAGTTCCTTTCTCAGAAAACCAACCACCTAGTGCCTAGATAGTATCATGGAGCTGAAACTTACCAATCACTGCATCTGGACAATGAAACCCCTCACCTGTCATGATCACCTAACTGATCATGTGCTTCCTATTGACCAACTCCTCTACTCCTCCCTAATTCCTGTTTCCCCACACATGGTTCCATTTCTTCCCTGCTATATAAACCCCCTAATTTTAGTCAGTTGAAGAGAAGGATTTGAGACTGACCTCCTATCTCCTCAGCTGCAACACCTGATTAAGGCCTTTCCTGGCAGTACCCACTGTTTCAGTGATTGGCTTTCTGTGCAGCAAGCAACAAGACCTAGACCAAACCCCTGGTTTCAGTAACACTTAGAGCCTACAGAAACCACTCCAATTTCCCTGTGCCCACAACCACAAAATAAGCTCCCAGGCCCTAGCCAGGCACCCAGCAAATGCAGGTCCTTGGCTACAAGGTAGGCTAAGAAAAAATGCATAATGTAGGTTAGTGTCCCACCTGGGTTAGATAAAATCTAATTAAGCATCATCTTATCAAAAGAGCCAAAAGAATCATCATCTCTATAAAGAAGGGCACCAACACACACACATACACTCCCTTTTCTTTAGATCATTGTAAGCCTCAAGTTATAAAAAATGATGGTGTGTGTTAGGTGTGTGCTTTGGAGGGAAAATGCCAGAAAAGGCTTTGTGATCAAATGTTCCTGTCTTTCCAATCTAACTGCCTTTCTCTCTCACCTCTCTTTGCTTCAAGAACATTCATGACACTGGGTCTCTGAATAGTAATTCACAAGGCAAAATTATTGGCGGCTTTATATTACAGCCCATTTTCCTGACTCCTTTGAAGGGTGGGCAATTAGAACCTCAAACACAATTTTTTCATTCTGGCCAGTGCCACGTTAAAATGGGCAAAAAGCGGGGAAAATGGCCTCAACCTTTCTTTCGCAATCAGTTCACGATGCTTGATTGAAACCTACCAATTACTTTTCCCCCCATTTGCTCATGAGAGGTAATCAAGGTGGAAGAAAAATCTGAAGCTAGGAGAGACAGAGAAATTGCAGGCAATTTTCCCAGTGAAAGGGCTTTCTCTAGCTGCCTGATTCTGATGTCCCTATTAGGAGCTGGCTGAACATGGTCCATGGTCTCACGACAGACTTGGAGAGACCGGGGACAGCGTGCTTTACTCTGGCGCCTCAGGTCCAGAGCACGTGATGGCACTGGCCTTCATCTTCATTTTTATTTTTTTATTTTTATTTATTATTATTATTATTATTATACTTTAAGTTTTAGGGTACATGTGCACAACATGCAGGTTTGTTACATACGTATACATGTGCCATGTTGGTGTGCTGCACGCATTAACTCATCATTTAGCGTTAAGTATATCTCCTAATGCTATCCCTCCTCCCTCCCCCCACCCCACAACAGGCCCCAGTGCGTGATGTTCCCCTTCCTGGGTCCATGTGTTCTCATTGTTCAATTCCCGCCTATGAGTGAGAACACGCGGTGTTTGGTTTTTTGTCCTTGCGATAGTTTGCTGAGAATGATGGTTTCCAGCTTCATCCATGTCCCTACAAAGGACATGAACTCATCATTTTTTATGGCTGCATAGTATTCCATGGTGTATATGTGCCACATTTTCTTAATGGCACAAGGGGATCTCTCCTTTCCAGAACCAGGGCAGTCCGTCCCTAGAGGGACCTTGACTCTGTCAACCGACACTGTCACCTTCTGCTACCATCTTGGAAAGGGTATCTGGATGTTTCACTTCTCTTGGGGATTTCCAGAAAAAGACAGCCCATTAGGGTATTGTCTTCATGTATTTTAGGAAAATAAACAAGGTCCCCAGCCCCAGGGGCCTTCTTGCTGTGAACACACCAAGCTTGTTCCAACCTCTGGGCTTCTGTTCCTGTTTTTCTCTCTTGGCCTGGTATTCTCTTCCTCTAGACATTCCCATCATAACGGCTTTTGGCCAACATCCTTCAGACCTTACTCACATGCCATCTTCTCAGTGAACAGTCTCAATATCCCACTTAAAACATCAACATCCCCTACACCCCCTTTATTGCTGTATTTTTCTCCATACCTGTACTATATATAGGAATAAAATCCCATAATATTTTTCCCTACTCTCATATAAAAATCAACACAGAATACTTCTATGACCTCTGGTCACCAAACTGTATGGGGATTTCTCCCCACCAACATGGAGTGGGGGTAATTCAATTCAATCCAGACACTATCTACCTGGAGGTAGCATCAGATCCCACAGGTGAAGGCTCAGTCCCAAAAGACTGCCCATACTTCAGGTCAATTGCAAGTAGTAGGTTGTCACCTATGCTTCTGACTGATCCACTATAAATTGGGGTTCACACTAGACCTTCCTTGGGTTCAATTAATTTACTAGGATGGCTCACAGAACCCAAGGAAACACTTCACTTATGTTCACCATTTATTACAAAGAGTATTTTAAAGGATACAGATGAACAGCCAAATGGAAGCAATGCATAGGGAGGTTATATAGGAAGGGGGCGTGGAGCTTCCACGCCCTTTCCAGGCACACTATCCTCCAGGAACCTCCAAGTGTTCAGCTATCAGGAACTCATCCAAACCTTGCCCTTTGGGTTTTTTATGGAGGCGTCATGATTTAAGCCTGAATCATTAAGTCATTAGCCCAGAGGTCAGGAGGTGAGATTGAAAGTCCCAACCTTCTAATCATGCCCTGGTCTTTCTCTTCACCAGCCTCCATCCTGAAGCTATCTAGGGGCTCCCAGCCACCAGCCATCTCGCTTCCATACAAAAGATACTCTTATCACTCATACAAAAGATTCTCTTATCAACTCCAGAGATTCCATGGGTTTTAGGAACTGTATGCTAGAATGCCGGAGGAAAACCAATTATATATTTCACAATATCACAGTATCACTCACTGCTATCTAGTTTCTACATGCTCTTTTTACTTCATTATCATTTCTGCTGCCCAAAGCTAACACAAGCTCTGTGAGGACAGGAGGTTTTGTCTGTTTTGCCGTAGTGTTACTAAAACCACCCTCACAGGGTGAACAAGAATGACAAGCCAGGCTTTAGGCAGGATTATAGTTAGGCATGACCAGGGTGCCCTGGTGTACTTCAACCCACTTCCCTGCAGCTGCTGAGTGACAGGTAGCATGCTGACCACCTGCCCTCCCATTGTTTCTATAGATAAATCTCTCACCCTAGACCTTTTTACCCAAGAATTGCTTCAGGAATTCAGAAATTCCAGTGAAACTGGCAAATGCCACCTGGTCTGAAGACCCCCGCCAAGGAACCGACTCAGCACAAGAATGTGGTTTCTTCAGCTCCCTGTCCCATGACTTCACCCTACACTTTCTGACCAATCAGTGACCCCCACATTTTACCCCATCATTTGTCCAGACTCCTTAAAAACCCCATCCTCAAACCTCTTGAGGAGGCTAATTTGAGGTTTCCTCCCATCTTCTCATTCAGCTACCCTGAGATGATTAAACTCTTTCTCTGCTGCAACTCCTGCTGTTTCAGTGTGTTGGTCTGTTACTGCACAATGGGTTTAAGAGCATCCTAAGAGCTCCCTACTCCTCACACACTGCCTGGCACATAGCAGGGGCTCCATGATCTGTCATCCATCATCCATCACGATGTGGGGAATGACAGAGGACAGCAAAGTACGCCCCACTCTTCATGGGGTTTATGAAGAAGAAAAGAACTTGGGGCTGGGCATGGTGGCTCATGCCTGTAATCCCAACACTTTGGGAGGTTGAGGCAGATGGATCGCTTGAGCCTAGGAGTCTGAGACCAGCCTGGGCAACATGGTGAAACCCTGTCTCTACTCCCCCACAAAAAAAAACCTGTTGGGCATGATGGTGCATGCCTGTGGTCACAGCTACTTGGGAGACTGATGTGTGAGGATAACTTGAGCTCTGGGAGGCAGAGGTTGCAATGAGCTGAGATCTCTCAACTGCACTCCAGACCTGTCTCAAAAAAAGGAAAAGAAAAGAAAAGAACTTGGTATTGCAGAGAGGAGACAAGTAAATGCAAGGGAAAAATTGGGAGAGGGGACTGCCTCTCACCTCTTAAAACAGAGATACCCAAGTTCAGATACATGGCTTTTTTTTTTTCTTTTTCAGACAGAGTCTCGCTCTGTCACCCAGGCTGGAGTGCAGTGGCATAATCTCAGCTCACTGCAAGCTCTGCCTTCTGGGTTCATGCCATTCTCCTGCCTCAGCCTCCTGAGTAGCTGGGACTACAGGCGCCCGCCACCACGCCCGGCTAATCTTTTGTATTTTTAGTAGAGACAGGGTTTCTCTGTGTAAGCCAGGATGATCTCAATCTCCTGACCTTGTGATCCGCCCACCTCGGCCTCCCAAAGTGCTGGGATTACAGGCGTGAGCCTCTGCACCCGGCCTAAGATAAAATTATAAAGACTGACCATACTAAGTGTTGGTGAGGATATGGAGGAGATGGAACTCTCAGATGCTGCTAGTAGCAATATAAAATGCCAAAAGCACTTCGGAAGACAGTTTGGTAGTTACTTAAAAAGTTAAAACATACACCTACCATACGGTCCATTTCACTCCTTGGTATTTATCCCCCAAAAATGACATCATATGTCCACACAAAGACTTGTACACAAATATTTGTTGCAGCTTTATTTGTAATAGCCTCAAACTGGAAACAGCCAAAATGTCTGTTCTGCAAGTGAATGGATAAAGAAATTTGGTATATCCATAAACAAAATACAGCTTAGCAATAAAAAAAATTAACTTGATTGCAGTGATGGTTTCCCAGGTATGCACATATGTCAAAATTTATCAAAATTGTACCATTTAAATATGTGCACTTTTTGTACGTCAATCATACCTCACTAAAGCTATTTAAAATGTCTGAAAAATTCTGGGTTAAATAATTTTAAGTAAGTTTCTTTTCTGTAGGATTTCCAGAGCCTCTAAATGTTAAGTGGGTATTATTACTCTACCAAAAGAGAATATGATATATGTCATTTCCCAAACTTATTCTTCCACAAAGCCTTTTTAAAATTTTTATTTTTTTTTACTAAGTAGTTCATAGAGCTGGCATCCCATGGAACACGTTGCAAAATACGACAAAATCTGTTCTTGATTTGGACATTTCTAAGTGGCAAATGACAAGAAGACACCTTTAAATTGTCTTCAAAACAAGAGAGCTCCCCAATTTATAAAATCTGCTGTAGCATATGTGAAAACATCCCAGTTGCCTGAAGAAATGTGTATGTTTGCCTCACAGGCTGCAGAATTTCTTTAGCTTTTCTTCGGCAGCCACAGATCAGGCTTATTTATTTTCTTCAGTTTTACTAAATATGAAGGTGTTGGCCAGGATTTATTGGTCTGTTTTATTTCTCCATCCCATGACATCTGCTAGAGGTGGTTGTTACTGTTAACAATAATGCTACTAAATTACTTGAGCACTCCAGAATATGACATTCTGGGGAACCAATTAAAACAGATGCTCTTTCGGCCGGGCCGGTGTGGTGGCTCATACCTGTAATCCCAGCACTTTGGAAGGCCAAGGTGGGTGGATCACCAGAGGTCAAGAGTTCAAGACCAGCCTGGCCAACATGTCGAAACCTCATCTCTACTACAAATACAAAAAACTGTAGCCAGGCATGGTGGTGCACGTCTGTAGTCCCAGCCACTCGGGACGCTGACGCAGGAGAATCGCTTGAACCCAAGAGGTGGAGGTTGCAGTGAGCCAAGATCGTGCCACTGTACTCCAGCCTAGATATCAGAATGTACATATTCCTATATCTAAAAAAAAAAAAAAAAAAAATGCTCTTTCAACTTTCTTTAGGAGACACACCACACGCATGCACAATCCAAGACACGGAGAAGAGAAATGCTCAGAAAATCCAAGTACGATGATTAGGAAGCTTTTTCTGAACTCAGCAACTATCACAGAACATTGTTAACTTCCTGGCTCTCTGCAAATTTTCTTTGACTACTTCAGGACCGAATCCAAGAGTTGCAGCCCTACACAGATTGTCTTTAAACCATAGAATTCAGCTGGCCCGCTCTGCTACTTTATTCATTAAAGCCACTCTATGCAACTGTTTAACCTAGTAGTCTTGAGTTTCATCTGGAACTCTAATCATTGGCAAGGAAAGTAACACCTGACTTCAGCAGTATTGGGTCAACTGCTTTTCTCAATTAAACTCACACAACCTGCTTGAGGGAGAGAGAATGCTTCTTTTTTTTTTTTTTTTTGAGATGGAGTCTCACTCTAGCTTCCAGGTTGGAGTGCAATGGCGCGATCTCAGCTCACCGCAACCTCTGTCTCCCAGGTTCAAGCGATTCTCCTGCCTCAGCCTCCCCAGTAGCTGGGATTACAGGTGTGTGCCATGACACCTGGCTAATTTTTGTATTTTTAGTAGAGATGGGGTTTCATCATGTTGGCCAGGCTGGTCTCGAATTCCTGGCCTCAAATGATCCGCCCACCTCGGCCTCCCAATGTGGTTGGATTACAGGCTGAGCCACCGTGCCAGGCCGAGAAAATGCTTTTAGGTGGAATTATCATGAGGGTTCATCACGCAGTCCTGCATCCTTAAGGCATACTGGCCTAACATAAGCATGGGCGCATGTGAGTGGAAAGTGCATAAAACACAGCCAAGTCCATATTCTACGCAGAGCAGGCCTCCTACTGTTAACACATGTGCACTGGAGTCTACCTACCCTCACAGGCCTGGATGTTACTATAGCTCTGTTTTCTCAGTATGCTTCCTCTTCAAATCCTCTGTAACCACAGATGGCTGCTGCCAAAAACCTGGATGAAAATCACAGAGATGACCCAGTGCAGCGCCATCTTTATGACTGAACCAGTTGAGGTACCTCCTGGGTAGTATTTACATGATGCAAAACATGCTCAAGCATCGCCAGTACTGAAGCTTTTCAAGGTTTCATGGTGGCAGAAGCTAGCCAGTTAATTACACGGAATCTGGGAAGGCAGGTTCTAGTCTCTGTTCTCCCGGTGGATTGTGTCTGATTCAGGGTCAGGTGACTACAATTTCTGAGGCTTGACTGAGAAATGACCGAGGAATCCCATTCATTTGTAAGGGAGAAACAGCCAATAAAAATGTATTCTTGTCTCATCAAAAAGACTTGGTCCAGGGGAAAGCCATGAAGATGGCTATTATACACACCTCCATCCCTCCTTATTGTGGAGGGAAGGGGATGCAATCTGTATAATATCATAGTGTGAAAACTGAAGTTGGGCCCAAGTAGGGCCTGGTCTTTAATCCAATTCTGCCCATAGAAAGGAGAATCTGGGCTGGGTGCAGTGGCTCAAGCCTGTAATCCCACCACTTTGGGAGGCTGAGACAGGTGGATTGCTTGAGCTCGGGAGTTCCAGACCAGCCTGGAAAACATGGCAAAACTCTGTCTCTACAAAAAATACAAAAGTTAGCTAGGTATAGTGGCGTGCACCTGTGGTCCCAGCTACTTGGGAGGCTGAAGTGGGAGGATTTCTTGAGCTGGGAGGTCAAAGCTGCAGTGAGCTGTGATCACACCACAAAACTCCAGGCTGGGTGACAGAGTAAGGCTCTGTCTCCAAAAAAAAGAAAGAAAGAAAGAAAGAAACCTTATAAAGGACCACAGTGCCCCTGGGCCTGCTAGGCTGCCCACAGCTTGGCTCACAAAAGCAGCGTTGTCACTGTGGATGGCCTCAGGCCATGTTGGTCTTTGTACTGTTGCCCAGCCATTTGCAGGGCCAGTGCACTATTCTAAATTTCATTTCAAACAATGAATCCTCAGAGCGTTCATCCCTTCCATTCTGTTATCTACTGCAGTGCAAGGCTGTGGCTCAGAAAGTCTTTAGCTTGGAAGACATCTAGCTCCATTAAAACTGCAGCAATTATGACTACCTGGAGGTGAATAATCTCCTCTTGGCTTTATTTAATGTTCAATACAAAGAAACAGTCACCCCATTAAATTTACCTGCGCTGTGTCTCGCTTTGGATTTTTCAGGTAGTCATTGGTTCTAAACTATCATGTTCAGTATCTTAAGGACCAGACTATATTACTATGGTGAGGCAGACTGGCAGGAAAGCTCTGGGATCTATCTTGAACATTAGAGTTTAATAAAAAGGAAGGCATGAGATAAACTGAAAAATATAAAATAGGAAATCGCTGCAGCAGCATTCTGCATTCTTGAATAGAAAGACTGGAAACCTTAAAGCTACTAAGTCTTTTCAAATGGATAGCTTTAACATAATTCCACTCAAAATCACAACAGAATTCTAAAACTGGACAAGGGAACTCTAAAGCTCTTCTGAACAAAGAAAAATGCATAACGAGAGGAACTCATCATTAAATATAAAGTGGTAATATTAAATGAGTCTTTCTTGCAGTAGGATACTTAACTTTCTTCAGATTTATCATCCCTTTAAAAGGCCTGTTTTGACAAAGGGGCTGGAGCACTTGAATGATTTGTGTCTATGTTTCTAGAGTACCATCAAAACACAGCAATTCTTATCCACTTGTGTCAAGGACTTCTGATGATACTTGTAGGTTATCGAAATGGAAGATTTCCTGTGGACTAGGATTTGGATTCTAAAAATCAGCTTATAGGTTTTCCCTGCAGCTCCAGACAGCTATTCCTCAGTTTTTGCCTCCTCTCTATATTGGAATTAAACAGCTTCCTATGAAGCTTGGAACGTCAACGCTTTCTGCATACTCAACTCCAGTTTCATACTTTTGCAAATCAAGCATTGGTTCTGTGCAGCTGAGTCTATTCCAAAGCGAGTAATAATTTGATTAGTAATTTTTTACAACTCTCTAATCCTGTAGGCTACGGGCTCACCTCTTGCAATCACCTAGTTCCCACCTAGACCCATCCTGCATTCACTGAAGATTCCAGCAGCATTATTCAGGTGCCACTATTCATGTAGATAAGCCATCTGCCTCACCTCCAATGAACCTGTCCTGTGCACCATCTCAACCAACTAATCCCAAGGGCACTACTTATCAGATCTACCTCTAAAATCTCAATGGCAGGCATTCCAGGTGTTGAACCACCTGCCTGCTATATTTATTTCCAGCTCCTTTCTTGTGAACGCTGGATCCAGTTCTTTAGTACCACTGGCACCTCTGTGCCATTGGCCCAGCCACCTTTTTACTCCAACCTCCCACCTATGTCCACACTTCCCCCCTCATCAAGCAGTGGCCCTCGCTAGAGCCACCCTCTAGCAAATACCTACACATATGCCTACTTAATGCCGACTCTCCATCTATTCTGCACTTGTCGCCAAAGAGTTGAATGTAATTGGAGAGAAACCTACTGCCATGATGCATCTCCACCATTCTACTGAGACTGCTTTTGTCGGGGTCACCACTGGTGCCCATGTGGCCCAATCCAGTGCTCCCATCTCAGATCTCAGCTTGCTCATCCTTTCAGCATTTCTTTCACATGTCTAGTCAATTCCCCTCTTTTTGAACATCCCTCATTTGGCTTCCAAGAAACCTTTCTCCCCCAGTATTCCTGCATCCTCACTGGCAACACCTCTGCTCAGTTCCCTCTGCTGGATTCTGTTCCACTTCCCGATTTCCAAATGGAGGACCCTGGTGCTCGGTCCTCAGTGCTCTTCGCTCTCCTGCCTACACAGGCTCCCCTGGGCAATCTCAACCAATCTCATGACTTTCGTCATTCCCAAATTTATATCTCCAACCCCAATGTCTTCCATGAACTCCAAAGTCATGAATCCATCTGCCTACTTGACGTTACCACTTGAGTATTCAGAGGCATCTCAGACACAGAACTTTTGTTCTTCCAACCCAAACTTGTTTTTCTCCAGCCACTCCCTGTAAATCACTCAATCCCAAAGGCTAAGAATCCTCCTCCTCCTTTCTCCTTCTCTCAGAGTCCTTACCTATCCGCAAATCCCATCAGCTCAACATTCAACTCCGCCACTCTTTCTGCAGCTCAAGCTATCCTCCCCCACTACAAACGCATCCTCCAAACTGCTGATCTGGATTCCACCCTTGTCCGCCAGCTCCCAGAATCTCTTCTCCACATAGCCACCCAAACAATACTTTAGAATGTGTGTCAGCTCATGGAACTCCCCTGAATAAAACCTCCTGATGGATTCCTGTCATACTCTAATTGAGATCTGAAAGTGCTAGTGGTCCCTGCCCGCTGGAACACTTGCTGGACACCAGCCTCTTGACTGTCCCTCAAATACACCAAGCACCTACAAGCTCCAGGGCCTTCTCACGAATGCTCCCTGTGACCCGGATGCTCCTTCTGACTGGAGTGCTCCCTCCTAGGGTGCTCCCTCTGACCAGGATAATCTCTTCACACTCACTCTTGGCATTTTCTCTTTCACATCTTTCAGGTCTTTTCTCAAAACCCATCATCTTACAGGGGTCTTCCCTGACTGCCTGATCTAAAATAACAGCCCAGTCACACTTTCATCCCAGTACCCTGCTTTTCTTTTTCCCTGCAGAGCCAGATAACATTACCTTATGTATCTTTGTCTATTATCTGTCTCTTCCACTGGACTATAAAGTCCTGTGAGGGCAGGAGCTTTGTCTTTTTGGGTACACTGATGTCATCCCAGAGTTCAGGATAGCACGAATCACACACCCATCAGATGAGTGAGTGAATGAATAAATGGATCAGATAATGAATGAAGGAATGGATCAACTGGCTATCAACCGCAGTGGAAAGCTGGACCCCTGGAAAAGTCTACCTCCTCCAGTCTGTATCAGAAAGGGGCTATGCAACAGGACAGAGAAAGTGCATCGAAACTCCGTTTTCAAGCCAATGGGCTCAACCACACTAAGGAAACAGCCGCAAAGATGAGGAGCACTTCTCCCGAGGGCTCTGCCTTCTTCCCCTTTCATCTGCATCATCTTTCTTGTGCCTGTGTATGCAGTAGGTGGCTTTGAAAGGCAGAGACAAATGTCAGAATGCAACACTGCACAGTTCTTATTGCTTTCAACAGTTTCCCGTCTTCCGTCATAACGAGAACAGTCGCAGCCATGCTATAATTTTCTGTTTAGGTAACATCTTATTTGCATTCTGAAACCATGTCCTTTTTCCTATTACTGATATAAAAGATTGCTTATTTCTAATTATATTGCAGGCATTCAGGGAATTCAAAGAGCAGAAAATATGTCAGGAACAATTTACAAATTGTGGCTATTTGTGTACATGCTTGCCTGGACTCCAGCAAATTTAGAAACGAAAAAAAAAATTGCTTATTAAAGTGCCATCTCTCCTCAGCAGATCTCTGCTTCTATTTGTTCTCTCAGTCCTAACTAAATACAAACCTAAACCCTAAGTGTGAATGTGCTTGTGAAGAAAAGTACTCTTCCCCACTTCTCAATTGTTTTCAATGAGAATTTCGAAGTGATATTTTCCCCACTGCTCCCATCCTGCCTTGGAAATTCCATTTCTCTCACACTCAAGTCATTATTTCTAAAAACAAAACAACAAAAAGAAACACACATTTTTCTGTTTTTGTGATTTGAGATGTCTCAAGAGCTAGAAAATTCTTCCCAGAGTCGTATGAGTCAGTACTGAATAACTATTCCACAGATATTAGGACGAACATACTGTGCATGAGGTGGAGAACCTTCATACTCAAAATGAAACCCTGAGTCTAAACTTATTTTGTTCCACATTTTAAGCTCGAATAAATTATAAGAAGCTTGAAGATGTAAAATATGCCTTCTATTTCTTTGGTATCTTGCCACAGTGCTAAGGAAAGAACAAACATACAGAACTTTCAACGTATTAATTTTCAATCCAGGAACCTTCATAGATCTGAACAAAGCCACTCAAAAGAGCCTAAACACATGGCTCTACCTGATCCCAACAGATGGGGTTAGTGGTTGATTGTCAACAGTTGCCTGCATTTATCTCCCAAAAGGCCTTCTGGAACCTCTTCCCTGACCTAAATAGAGACGCTTCTAAACATTTTAGAAGGCATGATCTTTTCAGAGTCCCATGCAACAACATCATTTTGCCTACTCGATCAGCTCTAAGCTTATTTCATCCAAGATAAGTGTTGAGGCCAGGTGTTGTGGTTCACACCTGTAATGGCAGCACTTTGGGAGGCTGAGGAAGGAGGATCACTTGAGGCCAGGAGTTCAAGATCAGCCTGGGCAACATAGCAAGACTCCATCTCGATAAAAGATGAAAAAATTAGCCAGGCATGGTAACGTGCACCTGTAGTCTCAGCTACTTGGGAGGCTGAGGAGAGAGGATTGCTTAAGCCCATGAGTTCAAGACTGCAGTGAGCTATGATTGTGGCCCTACACTCCAATCTGTGTGGTATAGCAAGACCCTGTCTCTCAAAAAAAAAGAAAGAAAAGAAAAAACGAAAGTGTAGACAGGAGTAACTAGATACAGTTGCAGAGACATGGTGTGCAGAGGTCAAACATGTTCATAAAGAGGCCTCAGACTCAAGCAAAATTCTACTATTGCCCAAATAAACTCTGACTCTGAATACAGGGCAAATCTCTATTTGCCCATTTTAAAAGGGAGGTTCGATCAATGTGAATTTATAAACGTTTAGAGATGCAGATATGGATACCAAATATCTATTAGCCATACTTAAACCATTAATTTAGTTACAGATGTGTATTTAAAATAAAATAAAATATTATATAAAATATATTACATGGCCAGATGCAGTGGCTCACGCCTGTAATCCCAGCACTTTGGGAGGCCAAGGCAGATGGATCACCTGAGGTCAGGAGTTTGAGACCAGCCTAGCCAACATGGTGAAACCCCATCTCCAATAAAAATACAAAAATCAGCTGGGCATGGTGGCGGGCACCTGTAATCCCAGCTACTTGGAAAGCTGAGGTAGGAGAATTGCTTGAACCTGGGAGGTGGAGGTTGCAGTGAGCTGAGGTGGAGGTTGCAGTGAGCTGAGATCGTGCCACTGCACTCCAGCCTGGGTGACAGAGGGAGACTCCATCTCAAAAAAAAAAAAAATACGTTAAATAACAAATACTGCTTTTATACATTCTGACATTTCACAAAACAATTTGATTCAATCTCTGCTTCTTTGATGCTAGTGTTGTTGCATTCACAAGAAACGCTTCTTGACTTATCAATTTTCAACAGCACATAATTTTTACTTCCATCTAAATTAAGATTTGGCTGTTGCATAATCTGCATGATACTGTCACCAGTAATTTTATCCTGAGCCACAAAGACTCACTTGCACGGCAATAGTTTTTTCATTGTTTGTATTCATCCTATAGGAGTATTAGTGATTTGCACTAGGAAGCCACGTGCTGTACTGAGTAGCATGGCTTGAGTATCGTGTAAGGAGCAATGGACTCTGATCCAGTGAAGGGCTGGAAGCAAGAAAATGCATAGAGTTAGGTGGGTGAGAGATGGCACAAAACCAGAGGCAGGGCAGGCATGGTGGCTCACACCTGTAATCCCAGCACTTTGGGAGGCCGAGGGTGGCAGATCTCTTGAGATCAGGAGTTCAAAACCAGCCTGGCCAACATGGTGAAACCTGGTCTCCACTAAAAATACAAAAAAAAAATTAGCTGGGCATGGTGGCAGGTGCCTGTAATCCCAGCTACTTGGGAGGCTGAGACAGGAGTATCACTTGAACCCAGGAGGCAGAGGTTACAGTGAGCCGAGATAGCGCCACTGCACTCCAGCTTGGGTGACAGAGTGAGACTCCATCTCAAACAAACAACAACAACAACAAAAAAAAAAAAAACCACCAGAGGCAGAGGAATGCAAAAAGAGTCCGTTGGTATGGTCCCAGCAAGTTATAACTAGGGATTCAACTAGACCAGTCATAGTAGGAAGGGATTCAAGAAACATTTGTGAAGCAAAATCAGCAGGGCTTGGTAACTAAGTGGATTTGGGGGATTAGAGAAAAGGAAAAGAGAGAAATGATGCTGAGGTTCCTGGCTTGAGTGACTGAGTAGATTTGGTTCCATTCAACTCTTCTGGGTATAAGTAATAAAGGAGACAGAGAAAGCTGAACTGGGAGAAAAAAGCTATCAGGTAATGTATTCTATTTTAGACCCATTGAATACAAGTGGCTGTTGGACAGATAAGTAAGCTATCTGGCAAGAGCAGGGGGATTTCATTCTGACATTTAGGAAAGAAAGCTTGGCTGGAGAATCAATTTGGGAGCCTGAGCCCCTAAATTCTAAGTAGAACTGTGAGTCTGGGTGAGATTCCAGGAGAGAATGCCAGGAAAAAGTGGACTGCTGATGAAATGTAGGGGGATAGAAAACTAATTTAATGGATAGGCAAAGAAAGAGAAGCCCAAAGGGGGACTGGTAAGATGTCACCAGAAAGGAAGGATGAGAATGATTAAGCACTGCAAATATACTGAGAATTTCAGCAAAATCATGAGTCATGATTTTCCACTGGATTTGATGTTTAGTGGGTCGCTGATCACAAGGGGGTGGAAAGTGAAGAAATGCAAATAGCTCTCACGTACCTGTATTTTCCAAAGCTTTGTTGAAAACATAAGAAAACAAAATGGATATCAGGTTGGGGGGTGGGGGGTGGCAGGGCGGAGGGAAGACTTTTCCAGATAAAAGACATATGAGGCTGGGCTCACACCTGTAATCCCAGCACTTTGGGAGGCCAAGGTGAGTGGATCACCCGAGGTCAGGAGTTCAAGACCAGCCTGATCAACATGGTGAAACCCCATCTCTACTAAAAATACAAAATTAGCTGGGCGTGGTGGCACATGCCTGTAATCCCAGCTCCTCAGGAGGCTGAGGCACGAGAATCGCTTGAACCCGGGAGGTGATTTGGACTCTTGCTCTCCTGCCTGGACGCCCCTGCCAACCTTCTCTACCCTCTCAAAAAAACAGAGAAAATAAAGACTTGGAAGGACCTGAAGAAAATTCCTCAGATCATCCTGTTCCCCAGCTGCCTTTCCAATCTCCCACCCTCATAGCCTCCCACTTGCTGCTCCCCAGTCTGGAAGGTTCTATCCTCACTCTCTCCCCTCAGTTCATGATTCAGGTCCCTGCTCAATGCCTTTTTTGAACATCCTATCAAAAATACTCCCTGGTCACTCTCTCTCCGGCCATTACCTCGCTTTTACTTCCCTCTTTGGTTTTAAACCTACTTGGCATTATTACACATATAGATATAGATATATATTAACACACACAGATACATACATATAAGTGCATATATAATATAAAGCCAATAGAAATGATTTTATTACTATTTATTACTATTTTATATTTAAATAAAATTATTTAAAACATAATTTTAAAATTATTTTAAAAATGTAAAATAATTTTTATTATTTTAAAATTTAAAAAACTCTCCTCCACTAACTCATGAGCCTGGGGCATTACTGTTCTGTGCTATGCACTTCTGCAGCCTCAGGGCCTAGCACAGTGTCCAGCACACAGTAGGTGCTCAATAAAGATGTGCTGAATGAATACTATGAAGAGCCAAGGTAGAGATAAGACTATTTTTTTTCCCCAAGGATTGCACAGGATGAAATGAACTTCCCTAGCAATATAAGGGAAAACATTAATAATTTCTTGTCTAATTATAAAAAGTTATTAGAGGCTGGGCGCAGTGGCTCACACCTGTAATCTGGGAGGCCGAGGTGGGCAGATCACCTAAAGTCAGGAGTTTAAGACCAGCCAGGCCAACATGGTGAAACCCTGTCTCTACTAAAAGTAAAAAAAAATTAGTCAGGTGTGATGGCGCATACCTGTAATCCCAGCTATTCAAGAGGCTGAGGTAGGAGAATTGCTTGAACTCAGGAGGTGGAGGATACAGTGAGCTGAGATCACACCACTGCACTCCAGCCTGGGCAACAAAGTGAGACTCCATCTCAAAAAAAAAAAAAAAAAATCTTATTAGAGCCCAGAATAGATGTCAAAGAGAAACACAGAATCTCCTCTTGAGAGTCTTAGAAAAAAAAGATAATTATCTTTCTGGGGTAGAAAAAGAATAAAGATAAATAGATTAAATAATACTGTATGGTTCGTTTCAAATTCAAGAGTCTATTTCCCCACTGATTTGGGGTTATTTTTTGCCTGTCTTTTCCAAATGAGCAGGAGACAAAATTGAATCTCTTGGTTCCAGGGCTAAAAGATGCTATCAATTTCTGTTGATTCTAGGTGAGATAACACAACGCAGAAACAATTGGTCCACAATCCAACCAGTAAACTGGATAATAGACAATTTCTGAAGTTTTTTAGAAAGAGTGCAGTGAGAAACTGTTCAGATTTGACAGCCATTTCCCGCATAACTCCTTCCTCCAACTGACTTGTTGGATCCAAAAGACAAACTGGAGGGAGTGAGGGAAGGGAACGAATGTAGCTAGTCACTCATTGCCAGCATCCATGTATTTTCCAGGGTAGGTTCTCCAAGAGGCAATTATGTTAAATCAATCATCAGGAAATGAGGTCTTCGTAATGATAGCTATGACTTTGATTTCAAATACTGTGCCAATCAGAATGAGGGCTTTTGTTCCCTTGTCAAAAGGATCATTTATACTAAGTTCTAACTAAACAATACCCACTACCAACTTCCCTCCAAAAAGAAAAGAAAAGAAAAAGGAAAATGAAGCCCAATACTATTGAATGAAAACATATGGACCAGGGGCCGGGGCGGTGATTCACGCCTGTAATCCCAGCACTTTGGGAGGCTGAGTCAGGCAGATTGCGAGGTCAAGAGTTCAAGACCAGCCTGGCCAACATGGTGAAACCCTGTCTCTGCTAAAAATACAAAAATTAGCCAGGCGTGGTGACACATGCCTATAATCCCAGCTACTTGGGAGGCTGAGGCAGGAGAATTGCTTGAAATGGGGGGTGGAGGTTGCAGTGACCCAGGATCGTGCCACTGCACTCCAGCCTGGGCGACACAGCAAGACTGTCTCAGGGAAAAAAAATATATATATATAGATACGGACCACAGAAGCTCAATATAGCAGTGAGTTCCTTAGCTATCTATATTGTACAATTTGTTCTTTAAGTCTCATTCCTGCTAAATCACCTGAGAATCCTCATTGGAAAACCAATGCTCTTCCCGAGTCTGCAGGCCAAATTTAGGGTTAAAAAAATGGGGGGTTAGGGAGGGCCTTAATTTGCTATCAAAACCCAAAACACACAACATGAGAAAAATCAAGGTTAGAATAAGTTCAAAAGAAGATCTGGTTCTTGACCATGATAATGTCACTATTCTAATAGGGTCCTAGGAAGAAGAGGGCTAAAGACACCAAGGAGGCTGGATAAGTCCCATTGTTGGAGAGAAAGTTAGTGAGTTCTCCTAGGTGACTAAGGCACTTACCACCCCAATAAAAATATTGTTTTCCTTTTAGATATTTCCTCGATGTCTGCTATATACCAGGCCCTGTTTGTACTAAGTGCTAGGGATATACAGACAGGTGCTGTATAGTGTCTGAACCTTTAGAACCAAGCAGTGAGTGTGATCAGTATGTAAACTGATAAAGTTCAATGCAAAATAACCAATGCTCATGATAAATAGAAAATTACAGAGGGGGTTGGGCATGGTGGCTCACATCTGTAATCCCAGCACTTTGGGAGGCTGAAGTGGAAGGATCACTTGGGCCCAGGAGTTCAAGACCAGCCTGACCAACATGGTGAAACCCCATCTCTACTAAAAACACAAAAATTAGCTGTGCGTGGTGGCGCATGCCTGTAATCCCAGCTACTCTGGAGGCTGAGGCATGAGAATCACTTGAGCCCAGGAAGCGGAGGTTGCAGCACACCAGTATGGTATCACTGCACTCCAGCCTGGCAACAGAGTGAGACTCTGTCTCAAAAAAAAAAAAAAAAAAAAAAAAAAAGGCCAGGGACGGTGACTCATGCCTGTAATCGCAGCACTTTGGGAGGCTGAGGTGGGCAGATCACGAGGTCAGGAGACCATCCTGGCTAACATGGTGAAACCTCATCCCTACTAAAAAAAAAAAAAAAAAAAAATTAGCCGGGTGTGGTGGCACGCACCTGTATTTCCAGCTACTTGGGAGGCTGAGGCAGGAGAATCAATTGAACACAAGAGGTAGAGGTTGCAGTGAGCTGAGATCATGCCACTGTTCTCCAGCCTGAGCAACAGAGCAAGACCCTGTCTCAAAAAAAAAAAAAAAAAATTCTAGAGGGAACCTAGAAGGAGCCAGTACCTCAACCTGAATGAGTCAGAAACGTTTCAGAGAGGGGAATAATTAATCTAAGTATTGAATAAGACCTGGGAGGTTGCTAGGCAATGGGAGAAACATCTCCAGTGGAGTGGTCAATTTCAGTGTGGGCCTAGAGAGATGGTGCTGTAGAAGATGCACCCAGGGATGGTGGGCTGAAGGTGGACTGGGAGACCGTCTTTCTATGTGATCCTATAAGCAGCAGGAACTGACCAGGGTGGTGCTGTGAAGGTAGGGCAGTGTTCATCCTCCTCTCCACTGTTTCCCCAGAAACTAACGCAGAAACTGATTTGCTTCATTGATTAACTTAAAACAGAAGAATGTTTCTTTGGTTACTTCAAGGTAGCTATTGCTAGTTGCATTGGTGGGTGCTAGTCGCATTGGTGGGTGCTAGTCGCATTGGTAGGGATGAGGTGGGATGTGACAGAACAGGCAGCGGGCAGGGAAGGCTGGGAGGCAGCAGGGTTGGTGCGATGGGAGAAGGCAGCTTGGAAAATCATTCCTGAGATGTTAGTGCACAGGAAGAAGAAAACAGCCCTATCCTGCTTTGAGAACCAAATAAATGGCTGGGTGCGCGGGCTCACACCTGTAATCCCAGCAATTTGGGAGGCCAAGGTGGGAGGATCACCTGAGGTCAAGAGTTCGAGACCATCCTGGCCAACATGGTGAAACCTCATCTCTACTAAAAACACAAAAATCAGCTGGGCATGCTGGTGCATGCCTGTAATCCCAGCTACATGGGAGGCTGAGGCGGGAGAATTGCTTGAACCCAGGAAGCGGAGGTTGCAGTGAGCTGAGATAGTGCCATTGCATTCCAGCCTGGGCAACAAGAGCAAAAACTCTGTCTCAAAAAAAAAAAAAAATCCCACTAAATGGAATGAAGACCCTCTAAACATGCTGTTTATATCAAGAAGAGCCTCTGCCACCCTTACCCTAAAGGGAAGCAAACATCTGAGCTGCCAGTTCTCCACCATCCATAGTGAGTTCTCTATTTTTCTCTTTTTCAATTTTCTATTTTCTATTCTTTGAGTTCAAGGAAAGAAAATTCCATTACTTTCAGCAAAACTCTAGTTGAGAATGTTCAATAAACTCCTTCTCTGTGAAGAATAGTTGGAAAGGGGTATTTTATTTAACCAAATACTGTAGTTAAATGAAAATTGCTAATATAGATCATACACAAATGGCCAATTTTGAAAGAATTAGCGCTTAATAAAGTGCACATAATCCCAAGGCCCTATTAAAGATTATTTTTAATCTTTTTTTTTGGTGTGCATATGTATGATTCAGTATCTTAAACTCAATAGTCTTCAGGGAATTTAAGTTATTTTATATTACTATGAAAACGGCATTCTGGTTATATGATTTTTGTAATAGATAGGATTTTTACAACAAATTTTCAAAAATGTATAACGTAATCTAAAACCAAAAAGAGAACATTTGGGGATTGTTCACATTAATCCTTTTTTTTTTTTTTTTTTTTTTTTTTTGAGACAGAGTCTCGCTCTGTCACCCAGGCTGGAGTTCAGTGGTGCAATCTTGGCTCACTGCAACCTCCACCTCCCAGGTTCAAGTGATTCTCGTGCCTCAACCTCCTGAGTAACTGGGATTACAGATGCCTGCCACCACACCCGGCTAATTTTTCTATTTTTAGTAGAGACAGGGTTTCACCATGTTGGCAAGGCTGGTCTTGAACTCTTGACCTCAAGTGATCTGCCCGCCTCAGCCTCCGAAAGTGCTGGGATTACAGGCATGAGTCACTGCACCCGGCCTACATTAATCCTTTATTCACTCAGTAAACATTTGTTAGTGCTGTACCCCAACAGCGTACCGAAAGATGAAGAAAGACCAAGGCTGTTCTTCCTCAAAGAGTTCACAGAGGGGGATGCACATCTATTTTTAATAATATTTATAACACATTTGTTCATTGTAATGACAGAAGTAGGAAGAGAAACACAGATGAGAAAATGCTCAATTTTGCCTGTACCAGGGAGTGAGGGAAAGGGACATGGGAAATGACGCTTAAGAAAAGTCCTCACAGCCAGGTGCGGTGGCTCACACCTGTAATCCCAGCATTTGGGGAGGCCGAGTCAGGCGGATCACCTGAGGTCTCAGGAGTTCAAGACCAGCCTGACCAACATGGAGAAACCCCATCTCTACTAAAAATACAAAAATTAGCTGGGCGTGGTGGCGGGCACCTATAATCCCAGCTACTCGGGAGGCTGAGGCAGGAGAATCACATGAATCCAGGAGGTGGAGGTTGCAGTGAGCCAAGATCATGCCACTGCACTCCAGGCTGGGCGACAGAGTAAGACTCTGTCTCAAAAAAAAAAAAAAAAAAACAAACAGAAAAACAGAAAAGTCCTCAAGGGTGAGTGAGAGCACTCCAACAACAGAAATTTGGAAAGGACCAGGAAGCATGGAAACCAATTTGGGAGCTCCTGTAGTAATTCATGGCAGAGATGATGAAGGCCTGAACTGAGAGGACCCCAGTGGGGACAGACAGTGACCTGCTGGACATCGGAGGTGGGAAAAGGAAGCCATCTGCACTGTGCTGTCTAATATGAGAACCACAAGCCACATGCAGTCATCTAATATAACCTCATTAAAACATGTTAAAATTGAAATGAACTCAGCTTGCACTAGCCACACTTCGGGGCTTGATAGACATGTGAAGCTAGTGGCATCTGTACTGGATGGTACAAACAGAACTTTTCTATTATTACAGAAAGTTCTACTGTACAGCAGAGCCAAGTGTTTGGGGCTTGAGATAAGTAGTTGAACGTTGGTACCCCTAATTCAGAAGAAATGCCAGAGAGGCAACGGGTTTAGGAGGAGCCGATGGGTTGAGTTTGGGATGAGCTGAGTTTGAAGAAAGTCTAATATCATGGTGATGTCAGGATCCTTGTGAGTTCAGCATCTCATAAGCGACAGCATAGTGAGGGTCCTGGTTTTTAGCCTCTTCCTTTTCTGAAACAAAATCCAAGCTTCAAAAGCTAACCTGCATGCCTGTGCCTATTAGAGGGAAAACAAAAACAAAAACAAAAACAGGCGGCAAGGGAATTCGGTGTGGAGTTCTAAAAGAAGTGTGGGCGGCTGACCCAGAGTTGGGAGTCAGTGGTATACTGAGGGTAGTTAAAGTATCTCACAGAGAAAAGATTACCCAAGAGAAGAGGGGTGGAAGGTGAGACCTGGAGGAAGGGGTAAAAGCAACAGGTACAGGACGGCTGGGGGAACAGGATCCACAGAAACGTAGGAGAGTCTGGAAAAACCCCAGTCAGGAAGGAGATGGGGAGAAACAGGAACAAAGTGTCACCAGTAAAGCCCAGGATGAAGAGAAGGGGGAAGAGCCAAGTGAACTGAATGCAGCAGGAAATCTAATAAGGCACCAAAAAGTGTCTGGTGCATCTGGCAATTTGGGGGCCACCTCAGTAAGACCAGTTCCAGTGGACAGATGGTGGAAAGATACCTGCGCACATAGACACGTGGAAGGAAATGCTTGTTTTTCAACTGGCCGCCCCCAAAGACATAAGGATACACTGGGAGCTCCTCAAGGGGCTGGAGCATCCGAGTTCATGAGCAACACAGAGAATTGATCAGGACGCTTCAGGCCTCCCGGCGCATCCACTCAGCTATACCGCTGCTACTGGGGAGGAAATGTATTGTTGACCATGTTAGCACTTTAGAACAGCCCCCAGCTGGTCCCCAGAGGAGGGAAGGCATGAATTTCTGGGCTTCTCCCCTGAACAGGACCAGACCCAAGAATCTTAGTGAAACAAATGGTGAAAAACTTCTGCTGTGACATAGAGGCAGGGATTCTGATTTCATTGAAAACTCTTCAGCTTGTCAGAGAAAAAAAAAGACACACACACCCAGTCATACACACATGCAAGCACATGCATATACACAGTGCATACATGGGCATGCACACATATATGCATGCACATACATGTATACATGCATTGTGCATATACACTCACGTAGACACTCATATAGATATTCATACATTATGCAAAATGTGCACACACGTGCACATACATAACACCACCCTGGTTCTCTTTTCTTTTCTGCAGCGGCAGAACCAGGTCAAGAACCCACGTCTCCTGACTTCAGAACCCTCACTCTTTCCCCTGCAGCAGTTGCTCAGGGAGGCGACTGCCAAGAGGAAGCAGATGCTCTTGCTGGAGCAGGAGGAGACCCTTCGGGGACTATGCAAGACTCAGCCTGAAGTGGGTGCCAAGTGTTCAGAACTGTTTAAGTAAAAGCCACTTGACCGACCCCCATCAGCCCAAGTAATTCGGCTGCACTCTCCTAAGCTTTATGCAGGAACTCCGCTGGCTCTTAATAAACCCAAATAGGAACAAAAGAAAACGTGATGACTTTCAGAGGTGGACATTAGCTGTGCTGCGCTGAAGGATGCCTGGGCTAGATCCTGCCCAGGTCTCCAGGCTCGGTAAAAGGGCAGCTCCATTTCCCCAGCAGCAACCCCCACCCCAAGCCCCTGCTGTACCCCACCTTGCCCCTCCCCTGCCACCACTCTTGCTGGGGTGGAAATACAGGGTAAGAAAAAAGGCCCTAAGGAGTCCACCTGCCAAACCCAACTACAGACTGAAGCCCACTTTAAATTTCCTATCCTGAAACCAACAATCGTAATTATTTACATTGTTTTTTTACCCTCTTAAGTCCCATTTTCTTTGTGTTTCATCATCATTTGAAGTGGGGAGCGAAGGAATCTTATGGAAAGGCAAGGGTCGGATAGACTTGATGGCCTGTCTCATTTCCCCTCATTACTCTAACACCACAATTCCTCTCCGGCCACATTCACCACTTATAAAGTGCTATTCTCATCATCAGGATTATAGCAATGGGCAAATCAACGAACTGGGGAAAGGAGACAGCAGCAAGGAAAAACTCATGTAGCAGAATGCTGAGGGAGAGAACGACAGCAGGGGCCGGGCACGGTGGCTCATGCCTGTAATCCCAGCACTTTGGGAGGCCAAGGTGGACGGATCACTTGAGGTCACGAGTTTGAGGACAGCCTGGCCAAAATGGCGAAACCCCGTCTCTACTAAAAATACAAAAGTTAGCCGGGCGTGGGGGCAGGTGCCTGTAATCCCAGCTACCTGGGAGGCTGAGGCAGGAGAATTGTGTGAGCCTGGGAGGTGGAGGTTGCAGTGAGCCGAGATCACACCACTATATTCCAGCCTGGGTGACACAACAAGATTCTGAAAAAAGAAAGAGAGAGAGAGAGAGAAAGAAAGAGAGAGAGAGAGAAAGAGAGAGAGAGAGAAAGAGAGAGAGAGAGAAAGAGAGAGAGAAAGAGAAAGAAAGAAAGAGAGAGAGAGAAAGAGAGAAAGAGAAAGAGAAAAGAAAGAAAGAAAAAGAAAGAAAGAAAAGAAAGAAAGAAAGAAAAAGAAAGAAAGAAAAGAAAGAAAGAAAGAAAGAAAGAAAGAAAGAAAGAAAGAAAGAAAGAAAGAAAGAAAGAAAGAAAGAAAGAAAGAAAAAGACAGCAAGGCAAGGAGATGGAAAGTGGCCTTTGGGAGAAGGAGCTCACTTCCCAGAGAGATACCATTTGAGCAAGGATGTCAACAAAGGAGGAACAAGTCGTGGGGGTATCTGGAGGGAAGGAAGGGCAGGCATCAGGGTTCTGAGAAGGAGGGTGCCAGGATTATGAGGATGCAGGATTATGAGGATGTATGAGGATCTGCAAGGAGGCCAGTGAGGAAGAGAAAGAGGAATGAAGGGGGCGGGCTGGGGTGACAGTAAATGAGTCCAGAGGGGCAGCCAGGACCCTGATCCTGGAAGTCTATGGTTAGGTCCTTGGACTTGGCTCTGACACAATCTGATTTGCACTTTTACAGTCACTGACTGCTGGGTGGAGACCTTACTGCAAGAGGGAAAGAGTGGGGGCAAAGGGATTTGTGAGGGGGGCAGGCGCGCCCTCCAGGGCAGAGGAAATAGTGGTAAGTAACTAGGAATGATTGATGGGTGAGCACTTCAACAGCATCTGCAGTTATTAATGCAACAACAACAAACAACGGCATCCATGCTGCAGGTGTTTCCGAGTCACTGTGCTGGGAAAGCAGACACTAATCATGAAACAGCAGCAATTACAGAGTTCAGCATCTCACAGGCGACAGCACAGTGAGGGTCCTTGTTTTTAGCATCTTCCTTTTCTGAAACAAAATTCGAGCTTCAAAAGGTCACCTGCATGCCTGTGCCTATTAGAGGGAAACAAACAAACAAACAACAAAAAAAAAACACGAAAAAAAAACACGATGCTGCCCTCCAGAAGGATTATGTTGCAGGAGGTTGCAACGCTGAGGAAACCCATCAGAATATCAGCAATGCTGTTAAACTGAAAAATCGTGTCCAAGTGAAGTCAGAGAGAAATATTTCTCCTGGTAGATTTATGAAAACGAATGCCAAAAGGCAATGAGGTGGCCTCGGCAGCTGGAATTCCACTGCAGGGGCCTGGACTGCGGGAGCTGGAGCGCATGGGAAGTGATGGACGTCTCTACTCCAGGAAAAGGGCTTTGCTCATTGACCCACAGGCCCCTGCTGAGGCGAAGGCCCACTGCATCCTGGAGATAGTCAGTGTGTGGCTCAGTGTTAAATCCTAAGACAATTAGAGGCGTGGGTTGTGGGTGGAAGGCAGGGACTGGCAACAGAGCCCTGCCCTCTTGAGCTCTGAGCAAACATATAAAATCAGGTGTGTCCTGTCTCCGTACATAAGAAGTAGAGATTTGGGTACGGTACAGATGAAAACACCCACCTGGATGGGCCGGGAAGGCAGACCACAGGAGAGAGGCTCGGGTTTGGACTATAACTGGATATTTGTGTGAAGATTCACCACTGTCTTCCCCAGCAGACTACAAGTTCTAGGAGGGCAGGGCCATGTCCGCCAGTGCACACTAGAATTAAATATATTCCCAGCAGACAGCAGAATGCCTAACACCCATTAAGCTTTTGCATAAACACCAGTGGCAGTGAGTTGAATGGGGTCCCCTCTAAGATTCTGAATTCTGCTCTTCAACACTGCTAAGACTCTTAACAGGGTTGATTATGGGAACAGATGCTGGTGGCTCACCCAACCTATGTTGGCACTGTGCTGCATGCATGGGGCCCTGAGATAAAGACACAGCTAGGGCCTCCCTGGGGAACAGGAAACAGGGTCTTTGCAGAGGTCATAAAGATAAGGCCATCTTGGATTGGGGTGGGCCTCAAAGCCAGTGATGGTATCCTTATAAGAAGAGGAGAGGCCGGGCACAGTGGCTCACACCTGTAATCCCAGCACTTTGAAAGGCCGAGGCGGGTGGATTACCTGAGGTCGAGAGTTCGAGACCAGCCTGGCCAACATGGTAAAACCCCGTCTCTACTAAAAATACAAAATTAGCCAGGCGTGGTGGCACACGCCTGTAATCCCAGCTACTCCGGAGGCTGAGGCAGGATAATCGCTTAAACCTGGGAGGTGGAGGTTGTGGTGATCCGAGATCATGCCATTGCACTCCAGCCTGGGTAATAAGAGCGAAGCTCTGTCTCCAAAAAAAATAAAAAGGAAAAAAAAAAAAGGAAGAGGAGAGGACACACAGAGGCCAGGCGACATCAAAAGCAGAGACTGGAGTGATGCGGCTACAAGCCAAGGAATGCTAAAAATAGCTGGGGCTACCAGACACTAGGAAGAGGCAAGTAAGGATTCTCTCCTTGAGCCTTCAGAGGGAGCATGGGTGGCCCTACTGACGCCATGATTTCAGACCGATGGTCTCCCTGAGAAAATAAATCTCTACGGTTTTAAGTCTTCCAAGTTTGTAGTAATTTGTTAACAGCAAACTACTCCATAGGAAATGAATGCAGTTGCTAAGCGAAGAATAAATGAATAAACAAATCAACAAAGAGATGGCTGGTCCATACCAGCATGCCAAGAGCAAATATCTATAGATAGAATAACCGGACATACTTTGAAAACCAGCAAGGGAAACAATAGGCTTAACATGCAGCTGGTGGAGGTAAACCAGGTGTACAATTAGCTTAACAACCAGTGGGTACCCCTCTGGTTTCTTCCAGTGGGTACCCCTCTGCCCAGGAGGAACACTCAGTCCCAAGGCCTTTTTCCAGCACCATTACAGAACTATTATAGAGTGGATCTTGCCTTGCAAATAAGGGAAACTCAGAATTATTTTGTTTTTTGTTCTTCTTAGTCAAAGATGATAAATTGTAGTTAGAAAAAAAAGTCATTAAGAAATTCCATTGAAATAGGCCGGGCTCGGCGGCTCATGCCTGTAATCCCAACACTTTGGGAGGCCAAGGTAAGTGGATCACCTGAGGTCAGGAGTTGAGACCAGCCTGACCAAATGATGAAACCCCGTCTCTACCAAAAATACAAAAAATTAGCAGGGCGTGGTGGCAGGAGCCTGTAATCCCAGCTACTTGAGGAACTGAAGCAGGAGAACTATTTGAACCTGGGAGGCAGAGGATGCAGTGATCCAAGATCAGGGCACTGCACTCCAGCCTGGGCAACAGAGCAAGACTCTGTCTCGAAAAGAAAAAAAAAAAAAAAAAAGAAATTCCATCAAAATAAACAAGAAAGGGCCAAAGGAAAAACAAGTTCTTCTTCTTGGATGGATCTTCAACAACAAAAGCCCATTGCAGCCCCTGATGCTGGGTCTCTCTGAGGCACAACTCCATCTATAATACTCGCTAGTTCCTAAGACCCCGATTCAGACATAAGAAAAATAATCAAAGTTGCTCACGCTCTGTAGTGACCTCTTGCAATAGGTCCAGCCACTGTGACTCTCTCAAAGGTTTATTTGCAGCACTGTGACCGTAGAGGCCCCAGCCAGAGCACAGAGGGGCAGCCAAGCCCCCGGGTAATGAGCAGACACAAAGTCTCACAGCCCATGAGCACCAGGTCATTTATCTTCCTAGTTTTGTTCATTAAATTTGAAGGGGGAGGTGGAGAGAGAAGATAATGGAGGAAATCAATGTGAATTTTTCAAAGTAATCGGGCTTGATTGGTCTTTTTATTTGTCTAGGAAGGTCTGTCTGCCTAGAGGACTGGGAGACAAAATATCCTGAGGTCTCAATAACCAGCCTCCTCCCAGAACCGGAAAACTCAACTGCCCTTGCCCTAAAACCATGCCCCACCTCCCTCTCACCCTGCTATATGCATAACAGGAGCAAGTGAGCTCCTGGGCAGGAAAAAAAGTCTGCACCCTCCTGCTAAAACTCTTAATAGTGCTGAAGACGGGAACAGATGCTGGTCACTCACTCCACATGGGCCAGGCACTGTGCTGTATACATGGGAACCCTGAGATGAAAACACAGCTAGGGCCTCCTTCCTCAGTAGTCATTACTGCTAGGGAGGGCAGATGACACAGAAACTGCAGTGACAGAGGACACTCCCTCAAAAGCGGTGAGCCCAAGCCGGGCGCGGTGGCACACACGTGCAGTCCCAGCTACTTGGGAGGCTGAGGAAGGAGGAACATGTGAGTTCGAGAGCCCAGGAGTTCGAGAGCAGCCTGGACAACACAGTGAGACTCTATCTCTAAAAAAACAAAAAGAGGTGAGCCCAGAGTTGGAAGCCTGGGGACGATTTTCCAGTAATAAAGGGGAAGGGCATTTCAGGCAAAGGAACCCAACACGTTCAGTCTCCACTGAATTTTCACCATACAGTGTCCAAAATAAGGAAGAGCGGCCACAGACACTCTTTGGTGGTGACAAAGCAAATCCTATCAGCTTCACTCTGGTCTGCATGGCAAGAGTCTGTCACCTAGACACAGCCACTCTGAGCAGGTGCAGGGCCACTCTGAGGAATGTGGTGAAGGGAGGGCTCGCCTCGCAGCAACAAGGAAGGTCCCAGAGCACCCCAGGCCTTTGCCACTGAAGGAATCCTGAGTTGGCCTGAGGAACCCTCTGGGCTCTAACTGGGCCCCGGTTTGTTTCTTTCCTTCTCAGGTGGCACTGACGGGCCAAGGGATTCAGGATCTCAGAGCGAGAATTACTTCATAGGCATGAAAAGCCTTGTGATATAAGTGATTCTCTCACAAATGTGGTCCCCGAAGGTGGGCAGGAGGGCATGGCTGCATTACAGAACCTTTCCCCCTCCTGGAAAAGCTCACCAGTCCCATCAGCAGGGATTTCTTTACTCAAGAAAAGATAGCACGGCTGGGCACAGTGGCTCACGCCTGTAATCCCAGCACTTTGGGAGGCCGAGGCAGGCGGATCACGAGGTCAGGAGATCGAGACCATCCTGGCGAACATGGTGAAACCCCGTCTCTACTAAATATACAAAACATTAGCCAGGCGAGGTGGCGGGCACCTGTAGTCCCAGCTACTTGGGAGGCTGAGGCAGAAGAATGGCATGAACCCGGGAAGCGGAGCTTGCAGTGAGCTGAGATCGCACCACTGCACTCCAGCCTGGGCAACACAGCGAGACTCCATCTCAAAAAAAAAAAAAAAAAAAAAAAAAAGATAGCACAGGCCATGATTCTCCTGGAGAATGACCAGTATGAAAATAGCAGTGCTTTGTGGCTGGATGGATTCTGTTTCTGTTTCCTATTTTTTTTTTTTTTTAAATAGTGTCTAGGCCAGGCACAGTGGCTCACACCTGTACTCCCAGCAATTTGGGAGGCCAAGGCAGGCGGATCACCTGAAGTCAGGAGTTCCAGACCCGCCTGGCCAACATGGTAAAACCCCATCTCTACTAAATACACAAAAAATTACCCAGGTGTGGTGGCACATGCCTGTAATCACAGCTATTTGGGAGGCTGAGGCAGAAGAACTGCTTGAACCTGGGGGACGGAGGTTGCAGTAAGCCAAGATCTCACCACTGCACTCCAGCCTGGGTGACAGAGCAAGACTCTGTCTCTAAAAAAAAAAAGAAGACAAGGTCTCTCTTGGTCACCCAGGCTGGAGTGCAGTGGCGCAATCTCAGCTCACGGCAGCCTTAACCTCGTGGGCTCTACCCAACATCTACTGTCAACCCTGACCCCTGCAACTGCCACTCCTGGCATGAAGAAGAACTCAACTCTTTTTTTTTTTTTGAGACAGAGTCTCGCTCTGTCGCCCAGGCTAGAGTACAGTGGCGTGATCTCAGCTCACTGCAAGCTCCGCCTCCCGGGTTCACGCCATTCTCCTGCCTCAGCCTCCTGAGTAGCTGGGACTACAGGCGCCCGCCACCACGCCCGGCTAATGTTTTGTATATTTAGTAGAGATGGGGTTTCACTGTGTTAGCCAGGATGGTCTCAGTCTCCTGACCTCCTGATCCGCCTGCCTTGGCCTCCCAAAGTGCTGGGATTACAGGCGTGAGCCACCACACTCGGCCAAAGAGGACCCCAACTCTTGACGCTCTTTTGGGTTCACAACGAGCTAGAGTAGAGCAAAAGGGCCAGAATGAGGAGTCTGGTTAGACAACACCTCAAAAGTTCCTACAAGTCACATGGGAGAGAGGGCAGATCCAAGGAGCTCCACAATGGCAAAGGAAAGCAGATGAGAAACTGGCTGCGGCCAGGTGACCAGACCCCATTCAGGAGTCCACGGGAGAAGAGGAGGAAGTCAGCCAGAGGTCTGAGCCACAAATGGCCAGGAAGCCAGGCCAAGGAGTCTAAAATAGTCAGGATTGAGAGACGTGGGCACCACGGGTGAGAAGGACACCTGTGCCTTTGCAGGCAGTGTTTCCTCCTGGGCTTCCTTCCTACCCAAAACCAGAACGGGGCTTGGCTGGGTCTGTGCACACAGTTGGAAACAGTGGACAAGTGCTGGCACAGAGAGCTGGGGAGGTGGATGCAGGCAACTCCTGACCCAGCACCTGGAATGATGCCTAGGCCAAGGGTATTTCAGCTGGCCTGCCTTGCTGTGAGAGATATACACTGAATCCTCCTGACTCCAACTGATGACAGAAGGCAACTCACCTGAAACAGACCTTGTTTAATGAAACAGGGCTTTAATGGACAAATCAGCATAACATCCACTGGCAGAATTTCCTTAAACAAATCCGATTAAAGGCCCAAAATCAAAATACACTTAGGTTTCAAATGATGCTTTCCCTGGACAGCAAACTTCATAGATCACTATGATGTGTCTTATCTTCCACCTGCTTACACTCACCTGGAAACCTGCCTTGTTAAAGTGTACGAGAACATGGAGACCACCCTTCAAGTCACAAATCCTGCCAGCAGTGCTCCTGGGCCAGCTCTTGCACCGGAGATCAGGGCTGCCTAATCAAAGCATCTGCTCCTTCCTGGAAGGCTCCAACAGCCAATTCCACTAAAGCATAAGGCACTGACCATCCCAGAAGAAGGAAAATGGGCTGATTAAAGTCCCACAATCACCAGAGGAGATAAGTGGGAAGAGAGAGCTGGCATTTAGGAAGCAGTGAGATATTTCCTGTGTTTTCACACAGCGAGTCCCTCCTGCTCATATCTCTTCCTGTCCTGCTGGAGAGCACAAGGAAAACACCATCAGAAATGAATGAGTCACGCGCTGGGTGCGGGGGCTCAGAACTGTAATACCTGCACTTCGGGAGGCCGAGGCGGGCGCATCATTTGAGCTCAGGAGTTCGAGACCAGCCTGGCCAACATGATGAAACCCTGTCTCTACTAAAAATACAAAAATTAGCCAGGCACAGTGGCACGTGCCTATAATCCCAGCTACTCGGGAGGCTGAGGCACAAGAATCACTTGAACCCAGGAGGCGGAGATTGCAGTGAGCCGATATCACACCATGGCACTCCAGTCCACGTGACAGAGTGACGGAGCGAGACTCCAACTCAAACAAACAAACAAAAATAAATGAGTGAATCAGGAAGATGGTATGAGACCTCCTGCCCATGTGGAGCGGGCAGAACTTAAGTGGGAACCTGAAAGATCTTCCTGCCTCACAGAAGTTCTGAAATAGTCATCCTTTCTCGCTTTCCTCCCCAGAAACAACAAACAGAGTCAACTGCTCCTTACTCCAGCCCACCTCCATCCCACTCCACTCAGGTGATCCAGTTCCATTCCCCTTAAATGGGTCCATGCAGAACCTCCTACTGCAGATAAAGCCAACAACCACATGACACATGAAACCCACAGAACTCTGCAGGGAAACAGTCTGCACCCATATCCCACGCCACAGACTGCGGTGCACAGCATGGGGCAGTCACCAAAGCGGGGCGTAGGGGAGAAGTGGAAGGAGGAGACAGGTCGTTCCTGGACGTGGGAAGGGGTAGAGTGTGTTGAGGTGAGCAGGGGCAGGGCACAGAGGAGAGGACAGATACATCACTTATTTACAGCTTGGCTCTTGTCTTCTCATGGGAGCACTCCAAGCCTTCTATGATGTAGGCCTTAGTTCCTCCTTCTCCCTGAATGTCCCTTTATTCTGCATGTGCCACAAGTGAGACATCAGGCTATGTTCTGGCATCCAGGGCCCGTCCCTTCAGTGGCCGTCCTCACTGAAACCCAAGGCTTCTTTAGCCAGCGTCCAGGCCAGGTGCTCTCTGCCTCCTGGGATGTTAACCAGCCAGCCTAATAAATCCACAGGTGTGAATGGGTTGAGGCTGGGGGCCTCCACTTTTTCTCAGATAAAGAATATTTTATCAGTATTCTTTTGGTGGCAGGGAGCAATCCTGGGAGAGAGATTTTGGGGGTAGGTAAAGTCTTACAGCCTCCTTCAAATCGCTGCTGCAACCTGCTAGCCACACACACAGGGCCAGGCTGGCCACTTCGGGGCCAAAACAACACGGCTGCATCTGACCAAGACACTATGTGACTTGCGACAGGACACTACCGTGCCGTCTCTGCCAAGGGCAGGAGAACTGTCCAGAGAGCCCCGGCTTGCCAGGCTGGTTCTCCATGAAAACAGGTCACACAGGCCATCGAGGCGGATGGGTTTCTTTAGGAGGATTCTGAGGAAGCGTCTACAGCCCATGGGGTGACCACCAGTCAGTAAGGGAGGAGACGGGCATGCTGTAGGGGTGATGCTAGGTGCATGCCAAATACCAGAGGGCAAAGGACCCCAGCATGGTGTCATTATATGGGTGAGGCCTTCACCCCAAACTGCCAGGGTGGCAAATCCCAATTGGATGGGTAGAAATTACCTTTAACTGCCCCACGCTGACGCATGACTGTATCTCCCCAGTCAAACAAGGATGCTGGCCAGAGAAGGTTCCAGATCTTATACTATGACCAGGGATGTTTCCACTCCCTCTCCAAGGCACGGGAGCCAAGCCTGGTCATCTCACAGGATATAAAGATTAACCAACAACATCCACATTCAAACGGAACCCCAAAGCTAAACAGAGGTATCTCAAAACCATACCTTTCAGACAACAGAAATAATCTCAGAGAACCGTTTCCTAAGAGCAGGTTGCCTCAGAGTGCATTCTGGAAAAATCTTTTTGTTTTGTTGTTTTTTGGGAGTCAGAGTCTTGTTCTGTCACCGAGGCTGGAGTAAAGTGGGGCAGTTATGGCTCACTGTGGCCTCAACCTCCTGGGCTCAAGCGATCCTCCCACCTTGGCCTCCCAAAGTGTTGAGATTACAGGCGTCAGCCATTGCATCCCACCCATTCTGGAAAATTCTAACTGGTCCAGTAGGTATGAAGAATGCGATTCTGGGGAGAGTCACGTTGCCTGTTAGCAAATTAACCTTAGAGGGGTCTTGCACTTCAGAAACACATTGACTTGAATCCCATTTTCCAAGCTCACTTGACCACTCATTATTAGCACCCATCAGACGGGTCTCCATGCAACACGCTCTGGAGAAAGCAAACTGGAAAATTACGAAGAAAGAACTGGTCCAGGGGTTCTTAAGCTGGGCTTCAGACATTCAGGAACTGTCCAAAATCCTAAGGAAAAAAAAGAACTGTCTATTTGTGTCTTTTTGTTAGGGAAGAGGATCCTCAGCTTCCACAGGTTCCCAACAGGGCTGTATCTGCCAAGGTGAAGAATTGTTGATTTATGCCAAAGTCCTCACTCACCAATCAGGAAACAGAGGCTTGCAGAGCCAGTTTGCTCAACTGTCTTTCTTTCTTTTTTTTCTTTTTTCTTTTTTTTTTTTTGAGACGGAGTCTCGCTCTGTTGCCCAGGCTGGAGTGCAGTGGCGTGATCTCGGCTCACTGCAACCTCCGCTTCCCGCGTTCACGCCATTCTCCTGCTTCAGCCTCCCGAGTAGCTGGGACTCCAGGCGCCCGCCATTACGCCCGGCTACTTTTTTTTTTTGTATTTTTTTAGTAGAGACGGGGTTTCACCGTGTTAGCCAGGATGGTCTCGATCTCCTCACCTCATGATCCACCCACCTCGGCCTCCCAAAGTGTTGGGATTACAGGTGTGAGCCACCGCACCCGGCCTCCTCAACTTTCTATAGCAGTTACAGCAGAAGGTTGGACTGGAACCCAGATCTCCTCAATTCTATCACAACATTTTTAGTCGTAAGTTGTTTGCCAAGGCTGATATTACGAAGAGGGGAGGTGGGAAGGGCTGAAAAACTACCTGTTGGGTACTACGCTCCCTATCTGGGTGGTGGGGTCATTCATACCCCTCAGTGAGTATCACATGATATACTCATATAACAAACATGCATATGTATCTCCTGAATCTAAAATAAAAGTTGAAATTATTTTTTTAAAAAAGTAAAAGAAACCGGGTGCGGTGGCCCGTGCCTGTAATCCCAGCACTTTGGGAGGCTGAGGCAGGCAGATCTCTTGAGGTCAGAAGTTTGAGACCAGCGTGGCCAACGTTGTGAAACCCCATCTCTACTAAAAATACAAAAATTAGCCAGGCGTGGTGGCATGCGCCTATAATCCCAGCTACTCAGGAGGCTGAGGTGCGAGAATCGCTTGAACCTGGGAGATGGAAGTTGCAGTGAGCAGAGATCGTGTCACTGCACCCCATCCTGGGCAACAGAGCAAGACTCCGTCTCAAAAAAAAAAAAAAAAAAAAAGGCTGGGCACAGTGACTCATGGCTGTAATCCCAATACTTTGGGAGGCCAAGGCAGGCAGATCACTTCAGGCCAGGAGTTCAAGACCATCCTGGCCAACATGGTGAAACCTCATCTCTACTAAAAATATAAAAAATAGCCGGGCGTGATGGCAGGCACCTTTAATCCCAGCTACTCAGGAGGCTGAGGCAGGAGAGTCACGTGAACCCAGAAGGCAGAGGTTGCAGTGAGCCAAGATCACACCACTGTACTCCAGCCTGGGCAACAGAGCAAGACTCCACCTCAAAAAAAAAAAAAAAAAAAAAAGAGTGTTCTTTGCATCAGAATAATACCAACCATAGCACCACACTTTGCCCAGAACCTCCGTGGGACTTCTACTCACAACTCAGTATAGGTTCTTTTTTCTTGCTTAATACATATTAAAACCCACTTATAAAACAAGTAACAGAGTAATCACACCTTTATAAATAGACCTTCCCTGTACACATAAAATAAAATAATATCGCTGCCTCCACCATACGGATTTAGAGATGAACCAGTTTTTTAAAACACTCATAGGTGGGAATTGAACAATGAGAACACTTGGACACAGGAAGGGGAACATCACACACCGGGGCCTGTTGTGGGGTGGAGGAAGGGGGGAAGGATAGCATTAGGAGATATACCTAATGTTAAATGACGAGTTAATGGGTGCAGCACACCAACACGGCACATGTATACATATATAACAAACCTGCACGTTGTGCACATGTACCCTAAAACTTAAAGTATAATTTAAAAAAAAAAAACTTTACACAAAAACGTTCTCTTTTTACACATCTCGTGGTCTCCCTCACATCTGCATCTCTGTAGTTTGCTGGGTCCTGTCTGGAGTGCCCTTACCCTCCCGACCTCCCTTTTCCTGTCAGCCTCCTCGTTCTCCTTCCGCTCGCCCAGGCAATCTTCTGTCCTTCCTAGGAGAGGCAGTCTGATTCTGATTCTTCTGTGAAGACCACCCTGAGCACATCAAACAAAACCAAACCCCACCTCAACCATTCTGAGCCCAGGCTGGAGTACAATGGTGTGATCTCAGCTCACTGCAACCTCTGCCTCCCGGGTTCAAGCAATTCTACCACCTCAGCCTCCCGAGTAGCTGGAATTACAGGCACACATCACCATGTCCGGTTAATTTTTGTATTTTTAGTAGAGATGGGGTTTCACCATGTTGGCCAGGCTGGTCTTGAACTTCCAACCTCAGGTGATCTGCCCGCCTTGGCCTCCCGAAGTGCTGGGATTACAGGCGTGAGCCACTGCAGCCTGGCCCAGTTTGGAAATTTCTAACAAGCAGTTGAAAATGCAGGGCTGGTGCTCAAGAAGGCGTTCTGAGCAACGTGATGGGATTTGGGATGCACAGGCACACTCCTGGTGGGCATTGGTGCTGCAGGCATGAAAGATGTTACCCAAGGAGCGTGCCAACACCAAGGAAAAGGAGGAGGTTTGAAGAGAGCCAGACCTGGGTTTAACCTCTGGTTTTTCTAGCTAATAAATGAGCAGCTAAGTAAGCCTCTCTGAGCCCCAATCTCCTCATCTCTAGCCAGTCCAATCCTATGATATGGACCCTGCAGAAGCCTGGAGAGCTGGAACTTCACGATGTCTACAGAGGACCTAGTGCAGTCCCCACCAAGCAGGAGGCATTACAACAGAAGCCACACACAGAAGACCTCAAGGCAACAGGGGAATCTGGAGAAGGTGGTGCCCCAAGTCAGAAGAGAAAGTGGCTGTTAACATTATTTACATTCTTAGGACAATATCTTTTTTTTTTTTTTTTAAGTGATGGGGGTCTTGAGCCGCTACCCAGGCTGGAGTGCAGTGGCATGATCACAGCTTTCTGCAGCCTTGAATTCCTGGGCTCAAGTGATTTTCCCACCTCAGCCTCCCAAAGAGCTGGGAGCCTGCCACCACACCAAGCTCAAGGTCATTAAAGGTGCAAGACAGGATCCTTAATGGTGGCAACTTCAGTAGGCTGACGGAGGAGAACCTGAGGGTACGGGGGTGAGGAGGAAACACCGGACCAGAAGCATCGACCAGAGCAGAGCATCTCACTTGGTCCTGCCTGTGCCAAGGACAAGCTGACATGGAGAAGGCAGAAGATGGAATCAAAATGTCAGCAATTGGCATGATCTTACACCCCAGCCCTACTTGCTCATCTCCTTGCCCAGACCCTGAGCTGCGCCCCCTTCTTTGACCTTCTCCCCATCCCTCTTGCTCCATTGGCAATCGGCTCAAGAGTGCTGACTCGAGAGACAGCTGAACCCCAAGAGCTTTCCCCAGATGTGGTGTCAGGACGGTAGCAAAATATATACCATTTCTGCTTTTTTAAATATGCTTGGGTATTAAAGTAGGAATAAAACAATCCTGATGTTTCCAGCAATTTCTAAAAAGTCCTGATTTATACTCTGAATGCCAAATGTCCAGAATATAATATGCCATATTATATACTGGTGTAGACTAGAGAAAGTTAGATAGGAGGTAAGAGGGCAGGAGGAAAGAAATTGGAGGGTGTAGGGGCAAAAAAAAAAATCCTTTTTTAATTTTTTTAAATGGGAAGCCTTGGGCATCTTTATAAGCTGAATGAAAGAAGTCGACACAGCGGACACTGTCATAAGTGGAACAAAGGATGAAGCTAATCATGGAGGCAAGCTCCCTGGAGAGACAGGGACAAAATCAAGAATGAGCTGGAGAAATTAATCCTGGAGAAAGGGAGGGACCTGACTTCCTTGAAGGCAGGCAGCCAGGAAGTAAAGAGGAAGGAAAAATCAAGATACATTTTTGGCAAGGGGGCAGGAAGTGGATGGAGTCTCCTCCTGGGATACCCAGTTTGCTCAGTGAAATAAGAGATGACATCATCTGTTGAGAAGGAAAGGCCTAAAGGATAAGGATGAAGTAGGGGGTAGGGGGAGAGAGGTAGAGATTTGGACTAATCACCGTGGGAAACAAATGAGAGCACAGCAAGTGTATGTTAGAGGTCTGAGGACTCGCCCAAGGCTCCTCTGAGGTTGCGGACCATGAACTTGACATGAAGACCCTCTGTGGCATGGTGGGGTTATCTGCTAGTTCTCCAGAAATCAAGATACTTCTTTTATCAGAGAACCAGGGTATCTGATAGACTCTGTATCTCAGTCTGCATGCAACAGAATAATCTTCTGTTCTATATTCTTCAAACATCTCCAGTTCCCATTGACAACGGTAATTTTTAAATGTCAAAAATTCTGAATATCAGCATCAGAAAGTTAAAATATGCAGTTGCCAAAGAAAAAGAAATCCACATACAGTTGGCCCTCTGAGTCGGAACCCACAGATTCAACCTACCATGAATTTAAAATAATTGAAAGAAAAAAAAAGGCTGGGTGTGGTGATGCGTGGTGACTCACGCCTGTAATCCCAGCACTTTGGGAGGCCGAGGTGGGTGGATCACCTGAGATCAGGAGATCAAGACCATCCTGGCTAACATGGTGAAACCCTGTCTCTACCAAAAATACAAAAAGTTAGCCAGGCACGGTGGCGGGCACCTGTAGTCCCAGCTACTCGGGAGGCTGAGGCAGAAGAATGGCATGAACCCGGGAGGCAGAGCTTGCAGTGAGACGAGATCGTGCCACTATACTCCAGCCTGGACGACAGAGCGAGACTCCATCTCGGGGGAAAAAAAAAAGAAAAAAGAATACAAAATAACAATACAATAATAAAAATAATACAAATAAGAAACAATATAACTACTTATATAGCAGTGATATAGTATTAGGTATGATAAGTAACCTAGAGATGACTGAAAGAATATGGGAGGATGTGCATATAGGTTATATGTAAATATGATGCCATTTTCCATCAAGGACTGGTGCATCTGCAGATTTCGGTATCCACAGGGTCCTGGAACTAATACCCCATAGGTACTGAGGGACAGTTGTATAAAACGTTGAATAGGCCGGGTGCAGTGGCTCACGTCTGCATTCCCAGCACTTTGGGAGGTCGAGGTGGGCAGATCACCTGAGGTCAGGGGTTCAAGACCAGCCTGGCCAACATGGCTACTAAAAATACAAAAATTAGCCAGATGTGGTGACAGACTCCTATAATCCCAGTTACTTGGAAGGCTGAGGCAGGAGAATCACTTGAACTCGGGAGGCGGAGGTTGCAGTGAGCTGAGATGGCACCACTGCACTCCAGCCTGGGCGACAGAGCCAGACTCTGTCTCATAAATAAATAAATAAATAAAATTGAATATCTGTGCCTTTTGTTTGCGGTGGTTTTTGGTTTTGATTTTGGTTTTTGCCAATCAAGTCATTCCCCTGTTTCTGCTTTAGTGGCACAGGCTGGGGCCACTTTGTTTTTCATTGGGAAAAAATGGATTTTCTTTTTATTCATGGATGTTCGCTGTCCTGACCGGAGCCTCCCGGGTATCTCAGTTGTACCCAACCTTGAGAACCTGTTGTCATACCCACCCCACGTATTAATCATGTTACAGACCCAGGGGGAGACTGCCTGTCCCAGGGCTAGGTAACTCCTCAAGAGAGGAAACAGCTTATTCTGAAGATGCCTCTCCTGTGCTAGCCAACCACCTCCTTATCAAATGCTCACACCGGGACACTATTTCTCTCGCCCACCATCCACCCAGGCCCAGGTACCAGTCAACTAGGGACACCCCTGTAGCCCACCAGAATTGTTCAAACTAGCTCGTTTTAATGCTTTACCTAATTGTTACCCTGCCCTGCCTCGCTTTTCCTGAGAAAATCCCAACAAAGGCTCTAGTCCCGGCTTTCCCCTCACTCTTCTGCTTCCTGGTGCTTTCCTGTGGCCTGTGTGGTACAACGTGGGCCTGGCATGACATGGCAGTGTGCCCCCTTCTCTTGGGAAATGCAACTCATACATCCTCACCTCCATAAATTAAAATCATGTGGATACAAGTGAGACATCCCACTCCCAATCCCAACCGTGCTGGCCTTTCTCCAGCCTTTCCCCTGCTACCTGTCATCGGGTGTTTAGCTCATATGCTAGCACCTTGGGAATCCTGGCAGTGGGCGAAAGCCGAGCCAGTCTGACAATAACCACAAACCAGGGGCCCAGATGGTCCCACGCCTCGTCAGCCTGGAGCAGCTCACATCCAGTAGCTCCTATATTCACACCTTTGTGACTGCTATGAAGTGAAATGTCCCCGAATCCATTTTTTCAAAAGTCTGCTAAGTAGACATTTTTAGGGAACCTTCGCTTTCTTTTCATGTAAATAGAAACCAGCCACCTACACCCACACAACCATATGCCAAAGTCTGGTGCCATCTACTGAAACACACATCCACACGTCTGGCCGTACCCAGTAATACTCGAGTACACAAAGGAGATCTGGCCTTTTGTTTTACAAGAAGGGATTGTGTGTGGAGCTGCTCCATCTTTTGGAACAAAGAGAACTTCTGCTCAATTAATGAGCAAATGCTGGAGTTCACTGCATTTGAGCACTCCATTAATCTCAGCACTGCATTCACCTCCAAGACACGACATTGTGAGCTGCCCTCACAGCAGTGAAATGCGCGCACACACAGGCACGTTACACATGCACACACATATATCTGTACACACAAACACACAAACTTGAAACCTTCTGTCAAGAGGGAAAAAAGAGACCTTAAACCACTATTTGATCACCTTAAGCATAAATGAAACCATACAGCCCTAACTCTTGCCACACTGGCTCGGGCAGGCTCTTACACGGTTCCTCCAATGAGCACAGCTGGGAGTCCTCAGGGCCAGTCCCAGGAGTTCATCAAAGTCCATTGCACGCGGTCCCTTCCATGTCTATTATGGTCCTCTTCTGAATGGGAGGCAGCCACACCCAGCTGTTACCATGGCAGCAGCTGGGCACTGCTGCCACTTTTCCAGGATGTCACTGTAGGACCACCAGGCCTACATCCTCCTTCTGTTTCACAAACCCTCTCTTCCCCTGCCCCCCAACCATCCTGGCCTTAGTACTTGGGCAGGAACCCAACAGTCAAAACTGCACCAGTGGCCAAGTTCGAGAGATACATCCCAGCCTTCCTCTGGCCACTGAAGCCACATTCCTGGGTCCATATATACCCTATTCCTCTTTACCAGGCAAGGACTCTCCCAAAAGGCTTCCCCATCTCCCTCCGCACCTCAATTCATGGCAAGCCCACCCAACTCATTGACCAAACATGCCCAGACAGGGCTGAATCCCTCTAGCAGACTCAAGCTCAAGCTAGGAATACCCACACGTTCCACACACATAGGGAGACTTTAATTAAGACTGTGATGCAATTCATACACTTCTGAAAACATTTGCAAATTAAAAGGAAGTTGGAGAGGGTAACAGAAAGGAATGGACCAGTACAAACGTCATGATTTACTGGGGGATGACCACTCTATCTTCAGTGACCAGATAGGAAGTGGTCCACCGCTTGGTAAAAGGACACCCAGCGGGGGAAGAATAGGTCCACATTCCATTGAGATACCAATGCCAGTTCATAACAAACACAGCTGTTTCCCATCACCTGCCAACTCAAGATGCACACACGTGGTTAACACACACTCTCTTCTCCACTTCTCTCTTCTCCACTTCCGGGGTTGGGCCCTGAAATCATTCTGCTTTCCCAGCATTTGCTAAGCATCTGTCAGGCGCCAAGCACTGTGTCTGGGCTGTGGATTCAAAGGCAAGGAAGGCTGGATCCCTGCTCTCTGGGATTTATCTCGCGGCAAAATGCTCCTACCTAAATGGAGTTGGGAGGAAACTGCGAGTTGGGGAAAATCACTAGAGGGAAGAAGTGAGGGGGGATTTGGGAACACCTGGAGCATGTGAGGGACAAAGAGCATGACCACTTCTCAACAGAGCAGCTAACAGGGGAGATATACACAGCCAGCAAGCAGCATGCAAGACACTGAAATGTCTAGAAATGGAAAAAGATGGACAAGAGGAGGGAGGAGACATTCCAAGAAAAAAATTTCATTTGCCTGACAATTTAACTAGGGCCCTTGTGACATGTGGACGTCATGGAAATCCACTGGCTGCTCTTTATTGGGCTGTGTACAAAATAAAAGTGGGCAGGAACCACTGTGATGTAAATATCTAACATGCTAAGTGTCCAACTGAGTTATTATCAGTAGGTCAGGATTAATGAGTGAAGGAGCTGCGTTGTTTTCTCCAGAAGACATTCTTGAGCTGATTCATCTGAACAGACTCCATCTCCTCTGTGACCACCAGCTACCTACAGCAGGAAGGTCTCTGATGAGGTGAGGGGTTAGGTGCTATAGGTGGCCAAGGAACAGAATGAAACTAATGGGATCCAAAGACCTCACCTCATCGGCACTGTTACCTGCCAGGGGCAGAACAAAAAGACCAGGGTGCAACCTAACGAGCTGAACTTACGAGATTCGTGGGCCATCTGGTGCTTATTATCTCTCCTCTACAGGACTCATTGTCCTTACCTGTAATGTAAGAGCACTGAGCTGGCTAGGCGTGGTGGCTCACGCCTGTAATCCCAGCACTTTGGGAGGCCGAGGCGGGTGGATCTCCTGAGGTCAGGAGTCCGAGACCAGCCAGGCCAACATGATGAAACCTTGTCTCTACCAAAAATATAAAAATTAGCCAGGAGTGGTGGCACATGCCTGTAATCCCAACTACTCAGGAGTCTGAGGCAGGAGAATCGCTTGAACCCGGGAGGTGGAGGTTGCAGTGAGCCAAGATCGCACCATTGCACTCCAGCCTGGGCGACAAGCGTGAAACTCCATCTCCAAAAAAGAAAAAAGAAAAGAGCACTGAACTGGATGATGATTTCCAAGGTCCACTTAAACTCCTAATGTCCCTGATTCACACCTTGCACCCACCCAGTCTCAGCCAGAGCCCTGGCGCAAGACAGTGCTCTCAGGAAATGTTGGGAGGAAAGTGAGTCTATTACAACCAGCATCAGAAGAAGGGTAAAAGGAAGGAAAGAATGTCCCTCTCAACTGGCCCCAGCTTTCCCAAAACTCTGCCTTTGGCTTGTGCTGCACAGATGACAAATAACTGTTATAAAACACATTTATAATCCAGCAACAGTCAGCCTGCGGAGCACCTCAAACCCAAAGAAAGAAGGGCCCCCGGCCAGCCTTATAAATCATGCTCGAGGCTGGGCACAGTGGCTCAAGCTTGTAATCCCAGCACTTTGGGGGTTGAGGTGGGTAGATCACTTGAGGTCAGGAGTTTGAGATCAGCCTGGCCAACATGGTGAAACCCCATCTCTACTAAAAATACAAAAATTAGCTGGGCGTGGTGGTATGTACCCATAATCCCAACTACTCAGGAGGCTGAGGCAGGAGAACTGCTTGAACAGGGGAGGCTGAGGTTGCAGTGAGCCAAGATTGCACCACTGCACTCCAGCCTGGGTGACCCAGTGAGACTCTGTCTCAAAAAATAAAATAAAATAAAAATAAATCACGCTCATAACCCAATTCGGACCTCCAAACCTGGTTTAATAAAATTTGCCTCTCCACGTGATTCATTCTGGAGCATGGTTATACATTTGTTAATGTGCCACAGCATGATCTTGAAAAGTTGGGGCATAGAAGAGTGTGCCGAAAGACAGTCTCTGCCCACTCTTGCTGATAATAATAATAATAATAAAGCTATAGAATAGGAAATGGGTAAGCCATTTGGAAAAACAAAAAAACAGAAATAACCAAGCAAACCACTTTACCATGATCATAAAGGTGAAGAAAGAGACAGGGAAGAGAAAGGGAGAGAACTTGGACCACAGCAACAACGATGAATAGCGTAGAGGGGCTTTTGATGATACCTAGCATGTGGGGAGCTGAGAAATTGATCTGCTTCCCAGAAGTAAAGAGAAGGTGAGGAATTGAAAACCCAAGGGAACCGGGCGTGGTGGCGGGCGCCTGTAGTCCCAGCTACTCGGGGGGCTGAGGCAGGAGAATGGCGAGAACCCGGGAGGTGGAGCTTGCAGTGAGCCGAGATCGTGCCACCGCACTCCAGACTGGGCGACAGAGGGAGAGTCCGTCAAAAAAAAAAAAAAAAGAAAAAAAGAAGGAAACCCAAGGGAAGAGAAGCCAGAACCCTCTGCCTGTGATGATGACCCCGCGTGGGGTGGAGACAGAGCTGCCAGGGTGGTCGGGCAGCACGGCCACCACAGCTGCATCTCTGATGCTCTGGTTAACCCCAGTGCCCTGCTAGGACCACAGGCTCTGGCTGGAATTCACTTTCGGAGAGCCGGGTGGACAAGCACAAACGTGGTCACAATGAATTTCAAGGACTTCTTCGAATGCCTTTATTACTGCGGAAATTCATTGCCTGAATGATGTTTGAGATCAATGGACTGCCAGCTAGAGCTTGGGTTGCTTTCTCTTTTGGGAGAAACTGCAGTTTCAATAGATTCGGCTGGTGTGGCCGTTTTCAAAAGGGCTCCTCTTTTTGTGCTTTCGCTAAACATTTAATAAATTTATGATTTCTCTGTCCACCAAACACGGCCAGAACCACTTTAGACATAAGTGGAAATTCAACAGGGGGATAAGGGAAAATGTCCTCCCTGCTGCAATCTATCCCAACACAACAGCCAGGGTGATCCTCTTTAAACTGAAGTCAGGTCACGTTCAAACGGGAAGCCTCAGCACAAAAGCCAGGATCTTACTAGGACTTCTGAAGGCTTGTGCAAGCTGGCTACCATTTTATTTCCCCCTTCCTCTTCTACCATTCTCTGCTTGGGCAACCCCTCTTTCTGACTCTTCTTGAACATGCCAGCTCTGCCCCACCTCCAGGCAGTGACACCTGCTGGGCCTTCCACCTGGAATGCTCTTCTCCCCAAATATCTGCCTGGTTTGGTCCTTCACCTGCTTCAGGTCCTTATAGAAATGCCACCTTCTCAGATGTTCCCTAACCATGCTCCCTAAATTTACAACACTTAAACCCCATACACACACACCCTCTTCCCACCCCCTCTACAACTACACCCCATACACACACACACACCTCCTACCCCCTTACACCATGTACACCCTATACACAAACACACTTCTCACCCCCTTACAACACCTACACCCCATACACACACTTCCCACCCCCTCTACAACTACACCCCATACACACACGCATACTTCCCACCCCCTCTACAACACCTACACCCCATACACACATGCACACTTCCCACCCTATCTATAACTACACCCCATACAAACATGCACACTTCCCACCCCCTCTACAACATCTACACCCCATACACACATGCATACGTCTTACCCCCTTATCTGCTGTTTCTTTCTCCTTAGCAGTCAACACCATCTAACGCACTATGTATTTTGCTCATTTAGAACTCATTCTCTGTCTCCTCCACTGGAATGTCGGCTCTCTATGAGAGGGGACTTTCATTTCTTGTTCTTATTCTTGCATTTGTTTGTTCGGTTGGTTGGTTGATAGGCTGGCTACTACAGTAATGTGCAGTGCCTAGAATGTGCCAGGAAACACTTAAGAATTTGGTAACTGCATGAAATGAATGAAAAAGTAAGAACACAAGCCCAGCATCTTGCTCCTTCCCATGACCTGGCTTAACAAACCATAGGACTATGCTTCACGAGAACCTGCTGCTGATGCTGCACTTAGGGTCAGGATTTGGAGAGTGTGACACCGAAGGCGAGAGTTCTTCCACGGGGGGATCAACTGGTGATACTGAATCAGAAGACAGTGAGGGCAAGGAAAGTGAATGGGACTAGTAGGGTGAACACTTGTCACAGAAAGACTATTATATTTCCTAGAAAATGAAAACAGCTACAACCTAAAGCATGCCTCAGTGAGCAGATCAGAGTGGAGAGGAGAAAAAGAAAAAGAAAAGCAAAGAATAATTATAGTATGAAGAATGCATGACATCTGTGCCTTCTCCCAAGAGACTGGGCCTAAGGAAGAGCCTGAGGACATTCTATGAAATGCTGAAATCATATGCAGAATTTTGCAGGAATATGCATATTGCTGGAATAAAGATCCATAACTTTCACCAGCTTCTCAAAATAGCCCCTGATCGAAATGTTAGAGGAACGCTAACTTACACAAGAATGCCCTAATTCCTTTTATTTCCACTTATATCCATTTATTAAGTGCCTATTACCATATCTCACCAAATTCTAAGACACCAACAATTCCAAGACACAGCGTTATTTTATGCAGCATGTCAGTTCCGCTATGACATGCCATTGGTTGTAAGGCAAATGCTAATTTCAGAGATGCTAAAAATGCAAAACGATGTGAGGCTTAGAAGCTACAAATAACAGTATATGTCAAGCTCTGTTGCTAGTCCCTTTACATATGTTATCTGAGTCCTAGTGTGAAAAATGTTATTATTCAATTATAATTACAAATGAAGACAAAGCCAGAATTCCAAGGTGAGTTCCAACCTAGGTCTGTCTGAAAGCCTCCACACCAGCACACCACCTCCCAGCAAAGATATGGCTCCCACATCGGCAGACCTTATAACGAAGTACAGAACAAGAACCTCTAAACAATCAAGCTACAGACAGGTAATGAGAGTTGGGTATCAAATGATCACAGAAGCACCCAGCTTGTGTCTGGAGCAATCCTTCAAACAAACTTCCAAATCTCCCGAAGACAGTTTCACATTTATTATTCTAAGGAGCCTCTGCTCTTTCACCTACTTTATAGCTCCCTCTCACTTCAATAAACTACTTAAGTGGAAGTTAATGATCCAGAACATATAGTGCTCTGTGTTGAAAGGGGAACTTAGGAACAAAAGGTGCATGATTCCTTGTCAATGTTAAAACACATCCCTATTATCAAAGGATTGACGAAAGCAGGTCCTGGAAGGTTGGGGTTGAGATGTGTGCATAAGCACATGTGTGCACATGCTACAGGGTGAGAAGAAAGAGGCCTCGAGGAATAAAAATAACCATTTCACTGGATGTCTTCACAAACAGGATATGCTGCCACTTCCCTAAGGAGCTTTTAAGGAGCTCAATGAGTAGAACTACTGCCAGGAGAGAACCAGAAAGAAATCACCCCAAGAAAACACTAAACCCTGGTCAGGCATGGTGGCTCATGCCTATAATCCCAGCACTTTGGGAGGCTGAGGTGGCCAGATCACTTAAGGTCAAGAGTTTGAGACCAGCCTGGCCAACATGGCAAAACCCCATATCTATTAAAAACACAAAAATTATCCAGGTGTGGTGGTGCACACCTGTAGTCCCCGCTACTCGGGAGGCTGAGGCACGAGAATTCCTTGAACCCGGGAGGCGGAGGTTGCAGTGAGCTGAGAGTGCGCCACCAGCCTGGGTGATAGAGTGGGACTCCTTCTCAAAAAAAAAAAAAAAAAAAAAAAAAAAAAACACACAGAAAATACGAAACCCCCTCTCCCCACACTCTCCCCAATTTTGCTTTGTATGGTGATTTGGGTGTGATTTTATCTTATCAGTCAGCTCTTTCTTGTCATTTTCTATCTAACACTGAACAAGCCTAGTGGTAGATTGTAATAGCTGTTTACAATTACTCAATCCTCCCCTTTGCTGTAAGACTTATACATCCCTGCACAATGTCATACACTGTGTGGGGCTATGGACCACCCTGCCCCATGGTCAGGGTTGGACATGTGAGTTGCATGGGCCAATAGGACCCAGTGGATGTGAAGCTCACTACATCCAAGCAGGAGTTTTAAGGAGTATCATAAACAGGTATGGCCAATGTGGACTGGCCCTGAGTCTCAGAATTACAATGCATATGAAGCAGAACCATGGCCTGCAGCCTGCATATATACAAAGAGCCACTGAGATGTGGGATTGCATGCAAAAAATTAGTACCAGAAGTGGGATATGCCATAACAGATAAAATACAAGGCATAAGCTTTGGAGCTGGGCAGTGAAAGGTATGGAAACTGTCACTACAGGATAGAGAAATAGTGACCCGTGATCCAGCAGTAACACATTTAGTAAAACTGCCCCTGTGATCACTTCGAAGGCAGGAGTTGCAATGAACGAATGTGTAGCTTTAGGTGACAAGGTCGCAAAACAGAACATTGCTAGGGGGATTTGGTTACTATTAGGTCCATTTGACGAAGTACTACAATAAAGAGACGAGCTCAGAAAAGAGTTAGCTGGTTTTCCAATAGGATTGAGGCGGGAAAAAAAGAAAATTAGGAAATTTGGGACTTAACAATTGCAAGATACAATGATTTCTCATCTCCTATAAATAAAGAAAAAAAATGGGCCAGACGCAGTGGCTCACACCTATAATCCCAACACTCTGGGAGGCTGAGGCGGGCTGATCTTTTGAGCCCAGGAGTTCAAGACCAGCCCAAACAATATGGCGAAGACTTGTCGCTACAACAAATTTTTAAAAATTACCCAGGCACAGTGGCGTGTGCCTGTAATCCCAGGTACTAGGGAAGCTGAGGTGGGAGGATCACTTGAGCCCGGGCTATCAAGGCTGCAGTGAGCCAAATGGCACCACTGCACTCCAGCATGGGTGACAGAGTGAGACCCCGTCTCAAAAAAAAAAAAAAAAATTTTTTTTTTTTTTTTAAGGAAAGATGATTAAGACCTAGCCTCAGGACACAGACAAAACTAAGGGCACGTTAAAGTCTCTAAAGGAATTAAGACACCCCCACCTCGCCCTACCCTAACCCTAGTAAATCCTTTTAGTTGAGCAAAATTGCTACAGGAAAAGTGATTAGTGACATGGTCTCACAGAAACCTGATAAGCTCAAAGTGGCCTGTAATTAAATCCAGAAGGAGAGATATGTCTGGTAAATAGTTACCTCAAAAGAGGTGTAGGTGTGGCTACTGGCCCAGGGAGTAACTAAAATCAAATGGAAATAAAAATTGATCATTGTTTAGCATGAATGATATCCCCAAAAGAGACACCAGCCTGGTCTAAAAGAGACTGTGACCACAGGGGACCTAAAACAACTTTTGGCACCCCAAATTGCTATAAGCAGGAAGTAGCCTGAGAAAGCTACCAAGTCCCCAATGAAGATATATTCTCTAATACTTTTTCAGGTGTGTCCGAACAGGATGATCAAAAAGGAAAAATCTCCCAGAGGGAGAAGTCAAAAGTCAGAGAGAGGCCAGGCACGGTGGCTCACACCTGTAATCCCAGCACCTTGGGAGGCCAAGGCGGGTGGATCACGAGGTCAGGAGTTCGAGACCAGCCTGGCCAACATAGTGAAACCCCGTCTCTACTACAAATACAAAAATTAGCCAGGCATGGTGGCGTGCACCTGTAGTCCCAGCTGCTCGGGAGGCTGAGGCCAGAGAAACACTTGAACCTGGGAGTCAGAGGTTGCAGTGAGCCGAGATTGTGCCACTGCACTCCAGCCTGGGTGACAGAGTGAGACTCCATTTCAAAAAAAAAAAAAAAAAAAAGCCATAGAGAACAATGGATTTGAGAGCTTCTCATTTGAGGAGAATTCCCTATCCCAAGGCAGGTGGGCCTCTCATGCTGTCCAGTGGAATTTCAGGATGGCCATGTGGATGCGCTTCTTTCTCTTTTGAAATACAAGTGCTCACTGGGGTTGGCCTATTCCTGTTCTTCCACGACGGACATGTGGACCAGGTCACTTATTTTGGTTCACAGCTCTCTAGATGAACAGCAACTAAATCCAGACCTGCTGATAGAATCTCATGAGATCCTGAAATTCACACCTGATTCCATGATTACATGCGAATTTTTAGGTATCTTCCATGAGTCAGAAATGAATTTATGTCGTATATAAATATACAAAATGATATATAAGATGATTATTTATGACCAGGAGGGAAGACTGTAGCAGACTGTATTATACAGTCATCCCTTGGTATCCGTAGGGATACCTCCTCCCTCCCACAGATACCAAGATCTGCTGATCAAGTCCCTTGAGCCAGCTCTTCATATCTGTGTGTTCCTCACCACGGATGCAGAAGGCCTACTCTATTCACAATTATTCATGTCTCCCTCCCCTTAGTAGATGTTTATGTCCCCACCTGGAATTGCAGTACCTGCCTATTGGCCAAGCATACTTCCCTGTACAATGTCAGACTTTGCCATATGATTTGTTAAGCAACAGAATGTGAATGGATGTGAACACTCCACATCCAAGCAGAATTCTTCAAGGACGTCATGAGTTTCCACCAATTCTCTAATTCTTCCCCTCCACCATGACATTGCACATGGCCACAGGGGCTGCTGTTTCAGCCTGGAATCCAGAAGGAGAAAACAATGTGACAGAGATACAGCCAACCTGCAGCCTGCATGTTATTTGGAAGCAAAATAAACCTTCAGGATGGCAAACCACTGAGATTTGAGGTTTCCTTGCTGTGAGGCAAAGCTGACTTAAGCAGCCTGTTCCACCCAGACAACTGAAATCAATGCTTAAACTCTTAGCAATACACAATCTAATGCAAGGAATATGCCTGGGGTCCCATGTGAGCCCTCAGGCTTTTAAATCCTCATCTTTCCTGGGAAGGAGACATAGAGCTCAATTGGTTCCATATAAATGCTTCTTCAACTTTTGAGTAAATTCCATCATCTTTGTGAGCCATCTAACAGTGAAAGTATTAACAATGAAATTTTAAAAAATCAAATCATAATTTCCTTTTAACCAGCCATGCTTTGAATGACAAATATGTAGAGAGTGAGTTTGTTCTCATCTCTCTTCTCACTGCATTCTTACTGTAGCCTCTCACCTAACCTTGTTGGCTCCAGAGACCAAAAGAAAGTCAGCTAAAGCCACAAAGGCCAAATGGACATGAGAAAATGTCTGAAAATGCAATATCAGGGATTGTGTTTGTCTTGTGAAGTCCTTTTTGCCCCTCAGGGAAAAATGACTGGAGGCTCCTCTGACTTCGGAGTAATTGCTTTGAATGTTTTGGGGGAAGATATTTTTTCTGGGGATGTTGCTGTTGTTGCTAAAATGATGTCCATCCAGAAAAACATAAGATTGCCTTTGTTTTTAAACTTGATTATAAACCAGCCCTGAGAAGCCTTCTAAGAGACTTCCATAAGTCTTTTGAATAATGCCATCATTCCAAGTTGACCATTTCCAGGGAGCCCAATCTCGTTTGCCAGATGAGTTCTGCCGTGTTTGTTCACATACCAGCTTTATTACGTTTTAATTAGTTGTTATCTTTGACCCCAAAAAGGGATTCCCGAGCACCTCAGAATGGAGCTCACAGGCACTGGTAGGCCTTAGTGGCCCTTTCTGCTCCTGACCCCAGGGGGACACCTGGGGATCAAGCTGAGGTGAGAAGCAGACTCAAAGTCTTCTGTTCACAGATAAATGCCCCACGTGACCTTGCACGGGAATTACTGAATAAAAGAGACCACTACCCTGATTTGAACAGCACCAGACACAGAGCTGTGAAAGAAAATGCCTCTTACAGATGACAATGTCCGGTTGCCCAGTCCTGGATTTGTTTTATTTATTTACTGAGACAGAGTCTCCCTCTGTCGCCCAGGCTGGAGTGCAGTGGTGTGATCTTAGCTCACAGCAACCTCCACCTCCTGGGTGCAAGCAGTTCTCCTGCCTCAGCCTCCCGAGTAGGTGGGACTACAGGCGCACACCACCATGCCCAGCTAACTTTTATTTTTATTTTTGGTAGAGATAAAAAAAAAATGGGGTTTCGCCATGTTGGCCAGGCTGCTCTTGAATTCCTCCTCTCAAGTGATCCACGCACCTTGGCCTCCCAAAGTGCTGGGATTACAGGCATGAGTCACTGCGCCCAGTCCCAGCCCTGGATTTGAACCAGTGTTCACTGAAGCATTTCCAAGCCTGTTGTTGTGCCTTCAGGTATATGAAATTCAACACATATTCTAAAAAGGACCTTGCCAATGTTCAGTAGAATGGAAGGCCATCCCATGAGTTTCAGAAACACTGATGCTGCTTTAAAACAAAAAACTCCCGGTGATTATAAGGCTTACCTGGAGTATCTCAAATATTTCAGTAGCGAAAATTCAAAGACAAGGACCAGCAGGAATGCCAATTCCATGTTGCAATCACGCCTCCCCACCCACAAGCATGTTATTAGTGTGTGCTTCCAATGCATAATTACCTTTCATTTTCCCATAGAATTTCAGGAAAAAAGAGCACAGGGCTCAGATGGTTTGTGAAATCAATAGGTGATTTCATCTCTTACATGCAAAAATAATCAGTTCTATTGAGAAGGAAATGTATACACACACACACACATACACACACACACTACACACACACACACTGGAAAGCCCACATTCAACAGTCAAGGTCACACACACAGGAAATATTCATGAAAAGGGAACATTTGTAGTATCATCCTGAGCCATATAGCACAGTCCAAAGTACATGGGTTAATAAAGGGTTAATAAAGGAAGAAACCATCTCACTCTCAATAAGGCTGAATTTGATGTGCTCAAATAACACTGATTGCTCCAAAAAAAAAGATAAAATTCCTACAAAGAGGAGGATCCCAGGCCTAACGATTGGATTCTTTTCTAGACAACTGTAACCACCCTCTGGACACTATAAAAGAAAACAAGTATCCAAAATAGCAGGATGACTATTTGTAATTACTGTGTAATTGTTGGTTTTACATGTCTGTCTCTTCCTGGGCTTAGTGAAGGCAGAGACCAAGTTCACTAATTGGATTCAGCCAAGGAGAGCAGTTGGCTCCATGAAGTATGAATGAACAAATGAACTAATGAAAAAAAGAACACGTAAGTTCTGTACCAAAGAAAGAGGAAAGAAAACCATGAATCCTGGTAGTACCAATCCTGATTCTATCCCACCTGCCAGCAAACAAGAAAACAAAGGGACCATCAGGAATTCTTCATTTAGTCCAAGCTCTGAAAAGAGAAAATAATTCCAAAATGTCATATTAAGAAGGTAAGGAAGACATGAGAATTTGAATGGAAGAAAACAGAGCAGTGGGTGGGAAAAAGTGGAGACTGAAATCTTACAACCAGGAAGTGTAGGCTGTGGCTTTGAAGGAAAAAAAAATTGAATTTCCAGGTTCCCAGGGCCCTGATAGTTGATTCTCTCCTTCACTCTCCTGCTTTGAGTCTACGTCAATAGACTCTCACAGCCTGAACCTCCCTGGCCGTACCTCAAGCATTAGAGCAAGATTGAAAAGGCTTCTAGATAGAGGTGATACAAACAAAGGGAAGTGCGTGCCTCTGGGAACCGAGCAAGAGTTTTCATCACCAAGGATCTTTGGACCCTGACAAAACCACAGGTAGGCTTCATTCATTTCACTCAGTCAACAGACATGCCCTGAGCACCTGCTTCATGCCAGGCACTGCACTGGGCCAGCCCAGAAGCAGTAGGAAGTCGAATGTTAAATGCCTGTGAACCCGCATTGGTGTGCTTTGCTGGGGAAAGGGTCTCCAGCAACAGTCTGTAGCCAGGGGTGATGGCCAGGGGCAGAGCGAACCCACAGAGCCTCCCAGTGCACACTGCAAAGGTACCCCTTCCTCTACACAGACCCAGCCTGGCCCCAGGCTGTCTACTCCACAGCAGAATCTCAGCTGGAATTCAAACTCCTTGGGTCCAGTGTCCTTGTGAGAGACCCATCCTGCCCTACCCTATCTGCTCCCTTGTAGACAGCCCTCTAGCGACCATCAGAAGTGTCTGGGGCATTTCTGCCCCATGCACACATTGACGGGGGGTACTACAGGCACTTAGGGGCTGCGGACCAGCAGTGCTAAGCATGCTGCAATATACAAGACATGGCTACCCCATAAAGAACTGGCCCGCCCCAAATGCCAATAACCCAATAGTGTGTGGTTTTTATCGGGTGCTCGGGTAGTCTCCTTTCCACAAAACGGTCAAGGTCAATGTGCTAAGGATGACAGGCCAGGGGTCATCATGGTGAGAGCCCAAATAAGGAAGGAGTGAGCAGCCACTTCACGGAGTCTACACAGGCATCGCTGCAGCCTTGGAAGATCTGCTACCCAATTGTCAGCCAACAATTCTATTCAATTAAAAAATTCCCAAATATTGAAACTTCATATTTTAAGATTAAGGGTGCAAATTTTTTTTCTTAAAGGGAGAAAAATAGGAATCAAGGCCCTTTGATAGTCATAGCAGACGACTCCCTTCCCCTCCAGACCTCTCCAGTTGTGCCCCGGGGGTCTTGCTACCCTTGGAAACTGGATTTAACTTTTGTTAAGCACTCTATAGAATAAAGAAAAGAACTGCCAATTGGTTCTAAGAAGACACTGTGCTTAGAAAACAGGGCACATCGCTGTGTTAAATGTATGGTACTGAAGAGTTTCCTCCAGGGAAAGACAATGTGTTTGTCTGCCTCAATGTACCCAGGGGAAAGCAACACTGAAATGTCCCTGACTTTGCGAGGATATTAAATGGGGATCCAAAGTAGAGGCATGGAAAACAGAACTTCTGTAGCCCCTTCCTAGAAATCTCCTGACTTTTAAAATACAGTTTCTGAGTTGAAATGTCCTGTTCTGCAGGTTGAAATATACGATCAAAACCTGCTTTGTGTAGCCCTCTGCATACAGCATTTTAAACAAGCTTCTGGAGCCCTATTACTCCCTCATAGCAGGCCAGCAGAGAAGCCAGGGCAGCTCATTAGTTCTGGGAGAGCTGTTTCAATTACATTCCAGTTGTAGCCCTTCCTGTTCCCTTGCTTTGTTGTTAAAGTTCCACCCGCAAATGCTTTCCTCCACTGGCCCAGTCCTATAAATTGGTGAGCTACAGGGGCTGCTTAATCCCATAACTAGCAAAGACAGGCTCTGAAGTCTTGGTCAGATCATAGGATCCTGTCAGATACCAGTACAGAGTCTCTACCCTCATCCTACTGTTCTTGTCCAGCCTGAGACAGGTCTACGGCAGCAAAGGGAAGAGCAGCACCATTAAGAATCCTCAAGTTGAGTAGTACTGGAACATAAGGTTCTGAGGAAAAGAAAATGAAGATGGCAAATCTTCTTTACTCCCTGGCTGAGACACACAGAAGAAGCGACTACAGTTTGACACTAAGTGGTTAATAACTCTAATCAAGCAGGCTGGATGAGGGGCTGAAGGATTGTCACAGAGGCACTGAGAAGGGTGGCCTCAAGGAGAGGCTTGTGTTCCATAATAAATCTCACGGAAGCATCTAGACTGGTCACTTCCATCCTGAATGTATGGTGGGGCCCTAGCAACAGACCAGTGGCTGAGTTTATTTAGCACTGTAGGCTAATGGGCTTCCACTGTGTAAGTCAACCTAAACCAAGCCTAGAGGAGAACTTCACCCAGATCTCGTTTTCCAAAGAGAGGGAAGGACCCCAGGGTGGCATCTACCCACATGGGTCTCCATACAAAGAAAGAAGACAGGGCCCCAGAAGAGCTCTTCCAATTCCTGGTACCAACCACCCAGGAAATGCTGCACTGGGGCTGCACGTGGCAGCCCTGGGTCCAAGAGAGCCTGAGAGAATTCTTCAAGGAGCTGCTGATGCTTAGAAGTGAGAGAGAGGCTGGGGGACCTCACTCCAGCCTTGGATAGATGGAAGAGGGGCAGATCACCTGAAACAGAAGACAAAGAGGAGTACAGGCCCAAAAAGAGAGGTACAGAGAGAGCTGCAAAGGAGTGAGTGAAAGAGACCAAGAGAAATGGAGAGAGCAAGAAAAAAGACAAGACGAGATGAAACCAAACAGGAAGAGATGCCTTGTTAACCAAGTCGAGAAGTACTGGTGGACTGCAGAAGCGAGAGGAAAAGGTTACCATGGCAACACCTTGCAGAAAGCGTAGGCTGTGTAGCTGAGTGAGCCCAGCCAAGAGAGCTGCAGCCGCCAATGGCCTCACCTGCTACTGCATCTGTTCACCTGTGGGACTGTGCCTCGAAGGCTATGCCCAAGCTCCCACTCCCCATCTCCAAGATCTCAGCCCAGAACCCGCTCTCCGTTCATCCGCTGCCCCAAATTTTGTGTCACATGATCCCTTCCCAAATGCACCAGATAGACAGAGGAGGCTGGGGAGCCATGGGCTCAGCTGCCCGGCCCCCTCCCCAGGTGTCCTTATTCTTGGTTCAAGGTTGAGGAATCTTGGAACATGACGAAAGTCTTAGCAAGTTACTCAACTCAAACTTTCACACTGCACAACAAGCCTCTCTGTAACTTCCCTGACCACTGGTCACCACAACTCTGCTTGAATCCTTTCAGTGACAGGGAGCTCAGCCCACTGCATGACTCAAATGCTTACGACTTCAGCTTTCATTCTCTGATCTAAGATCTTGCTCTACAACTCGGTAGAGGCAAGGGGGAAGATGAACAAAGTCCACTGTGACTAGTGAACCATGAGCCATGCTCCTACCATATGCTGTGATTCAACCCCCAACCCCAGGCCCTGCTCTCACCACAGACATGCACGTCTTCTACACCTCTCACTGCAATTCTCTATAATTTATCACATCGATTTTATAGTATATTTTTCGTTAACCTCACATTTGTACATCCAGGCTCCATGAGCTCTTTGGCTATTTTTACTGTTGTCCAGACAGAATAACTAACATTCATTGAGAGCATACAATATACTAGGCACCATTCTAAGCATTTTACATGTATTCACTTAGCCTATCTTCCCAAAACTCCAACGTCTAGCAGCCACTAAGGAGCTGAGTCAGAATTTAAATCCAGTTTCTTTAGGGATTTATCTTTCCTCTTCTACCTGAAGAATGACCTGTTCTTTTATTATTATTATTATTATACTTTAAGTTCTGGGTTACATGTGCAGAACATGCAGTTTTGTTACATAGGTATACACATGCCATGGTGGTTTGCTGCACCCATCAACCCGTCACCTACATTAGGTATTTCTCCTAATGTTATCCCTCCCCTACCCCCCACCCCCCACAGGCCCCGGTGTGTGATGTTCCCCTCCCTGTTTCTATGAAACAACCTGTTCTTTTGGTATGGATTCCTCCATATCCCTGATTCAGAGAGTGTTCGGACCCAAATGTGCTCAATGACTCAATAAGAATCCACACCTGAACCAAAACATTCTCCAAAGTTTCCAATATGGGCATCAAAATCCCCACGGTCTGGGCCAAAAAATTCCTACATCCAGGCTCCATGAGCTCTTTGGCTATTTTTACTGTTGTCCAAACAGAATAACAACTAACATTCATTGAGAGCATACAATATACTAGGCACCATTCTAAGCATTTTACATGTATTCGCTTAGCCTATCTTCCCAAAACTCCAACATCTAGCAGCCGCTAAGGAGTCGAGTCAGAATTCAAACCCAGTAAGTCTGACTCCAGAACTTATTCTCTGAACTCCAAATCTATACCATTTCTATATTGTGACATCTTTCAGGACAGTGGTGGCTTTTCAAATATGCATACCGTTCATCTACCGAAAACCTACAGGTAACATCACACTCAATGTGAAACACTCAATGATTTTCCCCTAACATCAGAAATAAGGCAAGACTGTCTGCTCTTACTCCTCCCTTCAACATTATACTGCAAGTCTTAGCCAGTACAATCAGGTAAGAAAATGAAATTAATAGCATACAGATTGAAAGGAAGATATAAAACTGTCACTATTCATAGACATGACAGAAAATTCCAAGGAATCTACCAAAAAATTCTTAGAACCAATAAATGAGTTTAGTGAGGTTGGAGGATACAGGGCTAGCACATACAAAGTCAATTATATTTCTATATACTAGCAATGAGCAATTAGAAATTTAAAATACAGTATAATTTAAAATAGTACCATAAAACACTTAGAGGTATAAATCTAACCAACGGTAGAGTATGTATGATGAAGACCACAAAACACTGATAAAGGAAATCAAAGACTTTGGAGAATATACCATGTTCATAAAATGGAAAACTCTATATTTATTAAGATGTCAATTTCCTCCAAATTGGTTTATGGATTCAGTGCAACCCCAGTCAAAATCCCATTGGGATTTGTTTTTCTGAGATGGAGTCTTGCTTTGTCGCCCAAGCCAGAGTGCAGGGGTGCAATCTCTGCTCACTGCAACCTCCGCCTCCCGGGTTCAAGCGATTATCTAGCCTCAGCCTCCTAAGTAGCTGGGATTACAGGCGCGCACCACCAAACCCAGCTAAGTTTTGTATTTTTAGTAAAGATGGGGTTTCACCATGTTGGCCAGGCTGGTCTCAAACTCCTGACCTCAAACGATCCACCCGACTCAGCCTCCCAAAGTGCTGGGATTACAGGCGTGAGCCACCACGCCTGGTGCCATTAGGATTTTTTGTAGATATTGGCAAGCTGATTCTAAAATGTGAAAGGAGAAAGGATACGCACAAAAACCAATGAATCAGAATGAAGGGTCCAAAAACAGAACCAAACAAATATGGCTCACGAACTTTTTACAAAAGCGAAAGGTTAATTCAATGGAGAAAATACAGTCTTTTCAATAAATGCTGCTGGGACAATTTAACATCCATATGAAAAAAAAAAACTCAACCTTGAACTCTACCTGACACCATATTTTTTTGAAACTTCAAATAGATAGTAGACTTAAATGTAAAACGTAAAACTTTTAGAAAAAAAAAATAGGAGAAAACCTTTGCAAACTTAAGTTATGCAAAAAATTCTTAGACGTAACACCAAAAGCACAATTCATAAAACAAAAAAAAAGAAAAACTGATAAATTGGCAGTTCATCAAGATTAAAAACTTTCGATCTCCAAAGGCACTGTTAAGAAGAGGGAAAGGCAAGCCAGGGACTGGGAGAAAAAGAAATGCAAATCACATATCTGACAAAGGTCCTCTATGCAGAATACAGAAAAAGAACTCTCGGGGCCGGGCACAGTGGCTCACACTTGTAGTTCCAGCACTTTGGGAGGCTGAGGCAAGTGGATCACCTGAGGTCAGGAGTTCAAGACCAGCCTGACCAATATGGTGAAACCCCGTCTCTACTAGAAATACAAAAATTAGCCAGGCAGGGTGGCGTGTGCCTGTAGTCCCAGCTACTCGGGTGGCTGAGGCAGGAGAATTGCTTGAACCTGGGACGCGGAGGTTGCTGTGAGCCGAGATTGCGCCACTGCACTCCAGCCTGGGCAACAGAGCCACACTCCATCTCAAAATAAAAAGCCTCTCAAAACTCTACCATAATTAAACAAATGGATTAAAAAACAAGCAAAAGATTTTGACACCAAAGAAGATGTACAGATGGCAAATGAGCACATGAAAAGATGCTCGACATCATTAGTCATTAGGGAAATACAAATGAAAGTCACCAGAGACCACTACTACACTCATTAGAATGGCTCAAGTTTTAAAAACAAAACAAAACAAAAAAGTGATGAGGCCAAGGGCTAGTGAGGGTGCAGAGCAACTAGAACTCTGCTGGGACTGAAGAACGGCTTATCCGCTTTAGAAAACGGTTTGGAGGTTTCCTATCACATGACCCAGCCATCTCACTCCCGGGTATTTAGCCAGGAGAAATGTAAACATATGTTTACACAAAAGCCTGTATGCCAATATTGATAGACGTTTCATTCATAATTGCTGAAAAATCAGGAAACAACACAAATGTCCTTCAACTGGTGAAAGTAAACAAATTGTGGTGTATCCACACGATGGAATGCTACTCAGCCTTAAAAAGGAACACGCTGTTGACACTTGCAACATAATGAAGTTCTCTGAAATGCATGACGCCAAGTAGAAAGAAGTTAGATCCAAAAGGCTACATACTGCATGAGTCCATTTAGGTGACATTCTGGAAGAGGCAAAAATATAGGGGCAGAGAACAGCTCAGAGGTCACCAGAGGTTAAACAAAAGGGAAACAGGGATAGGTTGAGGGTAGGGTTTAACTACAAGGGGCCAAGAGGCTGCTCAAGGGAATATGGGGAGGTGATGGAACTCTCCTATGGTGATGGTTACAGATCTGTGCATTTCTTAAAAACTCGTGGAACTGTACTCCAAAAGAATGAGCTTTATGATATATTAATTTAAAGAATAAATTTTTAAAAATATTCATGTCCTTTATCACCTGAGCAATTCTTTTTGAGACAGAGTCTCGCTCTGCAGCCCAGGCTGGAGTGCAGTGGCACGATCTTGGCTCACTGCTGCCTCTACCTCCCGGGTCCCGGTTCAAGCAATTCTCCTGCCTCAGCCTCCTGAGTAGCTGGGATTACAGGCACGCGCCACCATGCCC